>NC_000012.12:29680467-29833162 GCF_000001405.40 Homo sapiens
CCCTTTCCTTTTATACATAAGAATGTGACTTTTAGTTAATTTTCTCTCTGTTCCACTAGAAATCAGATGAAGATAGAATGCCAACTACGTTACAGTCAATATTGCCTATGGTAATATTATCCCTGATTGATAAACTGCAACTAAACAAGGAGGAATTATAAATGTCCCATAAATACCTGATGAGAGTGGTGTAATTTGGGCTTCCCTGAATGTGTTAATTCTTGTAATTGGGTATGTCTCTTATGTGAACACTGGAAGCCTGTGGAGTTGTTACAAGAGATATGGTGCCTTGTGGGACATGAGACTCTTAAGTAGGGGCAACCCCTGAAACTGCCAGATGAGAAGTAAACTAAATAAGCAATGAAGGTCTAACTGATCCCAGCACTTTGGGAGGCCGAGGTGGGTGGATCACTTGAGGCCAGGAGTTCGAGACCAGCCTGGCCAACATGGTGAAACCCCATCTCTACCAAAAAATACAAAAATTAGCCGGGCATGGTGGCACATGCCTGTAATCCCAGCTACTTGGGAGGCTGAGGCAGAAGAATCACTTGAACCTGGGAGGCAGAGGTTGCAGTGAGCCCAGATTGCACCACCGCACACCAGCCTGGGCAACAGAGTAAGACCCTGTCTCCAAAAAAAAAAAAAAAAAAAGAAACAAGATGAACATGAAATATCTGGAATATAAAGCATGACAACTGAAGTCATATAAAGTAACTTAGAGTAGTTCCTGTGGACCAAGGTGGAATATTTGAACATTAGTAAGAATAAAAACAGGTAAAGAAAATGAAAGAATCAAGCATTTGTCCTGTGTTGCCTATATAAACTGTACCTTCCTCTCAGGGTAATCAAATGTCTCATGAAGGAATGTCTCTCTTGATAGATATTCTGGCTAGTAAATTAAGAGAGAATACTAGAATTAGAATTTCAGTTTTTCAACCAATACTGAAATAACGGACCTAGGTATATGGCAACTCACTTCACAAAAAGAAAAACAACCAGAATTATTTACTTCCTCCTAGAAGTACACAGCACCATCTATGAAGTATTCTAACCAAAAAGAGAAACCTTGAATGCACTCAAGCCTCTAGATCTAGCTGTGAACTTACAGGAAATTCAGTGGACAGAGGCACACATCAACTGACATCATAGGGCACAGTCAGCAAAATGCAGATTGTGGGAAGTGTTACAAGGCCCCTCCCCCTCCCACCCCCACAAAAATAAAGGCAAAAGCAAAAGAGGAGAAAGAGTGAGATGGGAAGGTGGAATCTACAGATTAATAGAGACTTTAGAGGCATATCAACCAATTGCAATGTATAGAAATTATTTGTATATGGTTCAGAATACACAAGTGAAAACATGAAATGAAGGGAAATGTAATGAGTAATTGCCCATTTAATGATATTAGGATTTAGTGTTAATTCCTTTACATATGACAGTAATTGTTGAAGGTGAAAGATGAGGGGTTTATTACACTTATTTTAAAAATTGTGTATATGTTTGAAATTTTAACTAAAAACAGTGTTTTTTAAGGATACTTATTTGATAGAGAATTAGTATCTATAATAAATTAAGAACTCCCAAAACTCAACAACAACAAAAAAGGTGATCCAACTAGAAAATGGATAAAAGACATGAAGTGGTGTTTCACTACAGAATATATACAAATAGCCAATAGATGGCCAATGTCACTAGCCATTAGGGAAATGAAAATAAAACCACAATGAGATAATACTGGTATCACTAACCACCTACTAGAACAGCTAAAATGAAAAATAGAGCAATATCAAATACTGGGGAAGTCCAGAGAAACAGGATCTCTCCTATATTACCGTGAGTCACTCTGGAATATAGTTTGGCAGCGTCTTAAAAAGCTCAACATACAGTTACCATAAAGCCCATCAGTTGCACTCCTGGGCACTTATCCCAGATAAATAAAAAATGCCCACACAAAAACCTGTACATGAATGCTCATGGCAGCTTTAGTTGTAATAGCGCAAAACTGAAAGAAAAAAAATTTACTAAAAAAAACCAAAATGTACCACAGTCTGTGAATGGTTAAACAAACTATAGTACATCTGTATTATGTAACACTTCATAGCAATACAAAGGAAAGAATTATTGATGCAGTCAACAACTTGGATGAATCTAAAAGACATTATGGTGAAAAAAAGCCAACTGTAAGAGACCACATAATGTATGATTCCATTTACATCACATTCTCAAAGTGACACAAGTACAGAGATGGAAAACTGATTAGTGGTTGCTAGGACTTAGAGTTGGTTGTGGGGTAGAGAGTGGGTGTAACTACAAAGAGACAGCATGAGGGAGATCTTTGGGTTGACAGAGTAGCTATATATCTTGAGTGTGGTGGTGCTTACATGAATCCACAGATATGATAAAATGGCATAGAACTATACACACATATTGCATGGATGTCAATTTCCTGGTTATGATATTGTACTATAGCTATGTACAATGTAACCATTGGAAGCAACTGAACAAAGGGGATAGAGAATCTCTCTCTACTATTTCTAGATTTTCCTGTGCATCTGTGTTATAAAATAAACAAATTTTCTTAAAAAGTTAAGCTAACCTAGTTCTAAAGCCTGTGTCTTTTCCCTTGTGCCATGCCACCTCATTACTAAAGAACAGTAAACTCAAAGCATGAACAGATATTAAAACATAGATTCAACATCTGCAGCTGGAGATGGTTACCCTTGTCGGCAAATGAATTACCAGAACTCCTGGCTTCATTCCTTTAATGTACAATACCAGGTTTAGGATTCAATCACGAGGTCAAGAGGGTTTAAAACTGAAATCAGTAGAAACTCTGACTTTTAAAAAGCAAAGTCAAATTCATTTACATCACTCTTCCCAAAAAAGCATCTAGAAACAGAATCCCAAAAAGTAGAAGAAAGAAGATTTAAAAAGAAAGAAGTTAGGATAAACATTATTATTCCAATCCAGAAAGAAGTAATTTAAAGAAAATCTTGAAGCATCTGAACTAAATTATACTCATCAAATTCTACATAAGCCTCAACGCAAAATATGCTTTTGTGTGTCTACGTGTGTATACGCAAGGGACCCGCAGTCAATTGTGTGTAACATAAATAAACACTAAATCATGGTCTCTCTTGCCACAGCAGTTCTGAAAAGCGCTGCTAAATGCGACTGTATAATTTTCTCTTTTAGACAATTCAAAAGTTCACAAAAAGCAGAAAATCCCATACAAGAAGAGAAATAAAAAGAATGTAGCATACCTGAAAGAAGCAAAGCTTGCAAATAGACTCTCCTAATTATTCAGAAGTTGAAATGTCTGCACTAACAAGCAAGCTTATACCTAAACTAAAATTAGTAAAGATAGTCTATTTCCTATCATTTTTTTTTTTTTTTGAGACAGGTTCTCCCTCTGTCACCTAGCCATGGAGTACAGTGGTATGATCTCGGCTCACTGCAACCTCCGTCTCCCAGGCTCAAGCAATCCTCCCATCTTAGCTTTCCAAGTAGCTGGGACTATAGGCGTGTGCCACCATGCCCAGCTAATGTTTTATATTTTCATAGAGACAGGGTTTCGCCATTTTGGCCAGGCTGGCCTCAAACTCCTGAGTTCAAGCAATCCGCCTGCCTTGGCTGACCAAAGTGCTGCGATTACAGGCATGAGCCCCTGCGTCCAACCCTTCCTATCACTTCGAATAGGAAAAACTAAACCAGTGTTGGTGGAACAGGAGGTTAAAAAAAATTAATTTTCCATTTTTGCTTTTTCTCCAGTTAAAACCTGGAATTTCCAGAGCAGTTTTATTGATAATGACAAGAGAAAAAGAAGGCTAAAGAGAATATTTGAACCTCAAATGTCTTTGAGCTCCTAACAGCTTGAGCAAAACTAACAGTAAATAATTTCAGAAAAATTTTCTCATAGAGGAAATATATTTAGTTTATCTCATTTGACTATATACATCACATTTGAAGTTGACAATTTTAACAACAGCAAAAAAGAGGGCTTTCTCTTTATTTTTAATCCTAAATTAGTACAGTAATAAGTTCCTCTAAACAAATTCATATCTGATTCATTTCCTAATGTTAAGAAATACCAGAACTAGGGTCATCAGGAGCTTTTTATTTCTTTTTATTTCTATTTTTGACACTATTTCCCACTCTTCAGAAAATACACTGATCATTGGTGTGTAATTCTGTATAAGATCTCTCTCTAGACTCAGAACTGGATGTAAATATTGACTGTGCTACTATGAGCTGTAGCTGTAATGAGGATTAAATAAGAAAATACAGTGAAAACACTTAGCATAAGGCATGGGATCTCCCCCTCTCCGGCCACACACACACACAGTTGGCTGTAATTATTATTTTCTAACACTGTTAACTGCAAATGACTGGTTATTGTGAACACAAAGAATTTTTTCCAACTCAATAGTTAAGTTGAAAACATAGTTTTCTTGCTGTTCAGACGTGGTATGTTGTTTTTAATAAAATTCTACAAACCTTTTTTCCCTTTCTATTTCAAACAGTGTGCATTCTATTGCCAACCTAAGAAACTACTTTTTAAAAAGATTAATTGGGCATAGGATGATAAGATCCTATCTTTCCAATACACATTTTTATTTTTACAGCTAAATCGCATTTACCGACATTGTAAATGATTTATTTCAACTCTAAGGAAATATTTTCCTAACTAGATATCAAGTACTATCATTCAGCAGCAGCAAAATAAATTAACCAGAGCTATATTATTGCCACAAAGATTAAAAAAAAATTCCCAGGCACAGTACAAAACAGTCTACACGTAAGAATTCAAACCTATCCTATTTATTTTTACATAATTTTCACATTTTTCTTTGTTCAAATGGAATGGCATACTATCCTTTGTTACCAAAATTATTTCCAAAATAAAAAAAAAAAAACTTTCCAGGAAAGCAGAGAATAGCCAACAAACTGATACTAAGTACAATACATTAAAAATTGTAGTGCTTAAAAGATTGAGTTTTGCTTTGCTACCAAAATTAACCTTAGCTTAAAAAGACAAAACATAAAGGCACAATATCTCATTCTATATACCTATGGTTCTAAAACAAATTTCACAAACCTGACCACTGAATTTAAAAAAAGCAAATTACTCTGTTAAGAGGCATTATTTTCTATTAAAAAAACATAACTTTCAACCAGAAAAAAAAGAGGCCTGGTTTGCAATACAGCAAGTAATATTGAAAAGCCTGTTCAATGAGTACAATTACTTACTGAAAATTGTTTTTATGTAATTTGCTATTTATTCTGACAAAACTGACCAAGAGCCTCAATACCAAGATTAAAATAAATCAAATTCAAATTTTGTAAGATAGATTCCCTAATTTAAAAGCAAAATAGGCTAATGCACTTATAGAAAGTAAACAAACTACTCTTTAGCTCATGCTTACTATGGTTTAAAACTGTAGACTATATTATAGCAAGATTGTTAAAAAAAAAAAAAAAAAAAGGTGAGCCTGGAAAAGCCACTTTTCTTGATGTTGAAAGCTCCATCATTATCCATTCCCACACTCAACAGTTTTTAAATTTCTACTGAACCCAATTCAGCACCTGCTCAAGTCACTGAACTAAAACTTTCACTAAGATCACCAACCAATCCAGTATCCTAATACACATTCGGTCTTACTAGACATCTGACTACATGTGACATTGTTCATCAATCTCTACTCTCCTGGATTCTTTGAACATCTTCACCTCTGATTTCCCTTCAACCTCTCTCCAATCCCTTCTGCAGCTCTTCTGTGGCTTTTCTTCCATCTACCCCTAATACTGAAACTCCAGATTTCTTTCACTAACATATTTTATTATCATATTAAACATTATCCATAAATGATCTCATTCACTTTCAGGATTTTAACTGTCACATACTACATGCCAGTGCACCCAAAGGATAGTGTGCTGGTAAACTGGTTCTGGTGATAACATGAAGAGGGAGTGAGGGAAAGATTTGATCTGTATTATTTGCTCATTTCTGTGGTATACATACTCCCTCTGTGGCTGACTTCAAGCTACCCATATGACATTACTGTAGATGGAGCTGATGCTGGGAAGAGATGCATCCAGCCTGGCTCCCTGAGCCAGTAGGAATCCACTCCTGTCAGGGCTGCTCTCCAACCCATAGCTATTGCCTGTACAGACACCATCCTTGAGCTTCCATTTCCCACATCAAGCTATCTCACCCTGGACTGGGCTTTTCTCAATTTCAACTCACCACTATCTTTTCTGAATGTTTTCTAACATTCTCTATTACACCCAACCTAGAAGTCAGACAATCATCTTTGATTTATCCTTTTTTATCATTCACAAAATCCATTCTAGCTATAACAATCTCATCTCTATATAAATTATTTGAAGTTTTTTTTGTCTTAGTGCTGTATCACATGGAACAAGTGATGTATTTTCACCACATTTGGAGTTATGTAGTATGATTGGAATCAGAATATGGATTATAGCATGTTTTAATACATATGAGTCTATTTTTTATTAAAAAAATGAGTGAAAGGAAAAACTCTTCTTCATAGTAGAAAGCTAAGAAACAAATGTATAAGAGATATTGGGATTAGAAAATCACCATTTGGCAACCACAATAATACGCAAGAAAATAGTGGATTTTAAAACTAGTGAATGGAAGCATATTTATAGTTTCATAATATATCCCATATTTCCACAATATACTTATTAATTACAAGAGGAGGAAATAGCTTCACAGTAGAGAAAACTGATACACTTTAAGTGGTCAAGTTAACATGATGAGTAGTGGACAAACAGACACTTCATATGATGCACTTGAGGGCACACTATGACTTCTGCAGTATTCTTGCCCAAAATGCATAACCCAAATACAATCATGAGTAAATAACCAGACAGCCACAAACTAAGCAACATTTTATAGAATTGCTGGCTCTGTGCTCATAAAAAGTCTCAATGCCATAAAGAGGAAGAAAGACTGATAAACTCTTCCAAATTAAACGAGACTAAGAGACATGATCAGTGAAGTTAACACATGATCTGGGATGTCTTTTGCTATAAAGGACATTATTAAAACAACGGACACAGTCTGAATTGATCTGTAGTACTGTTGCAGTGTTAACTGACTGATTTTGATAATTGTCCTGGAGTTGTCAAAAAGAATGTCCTTGTGTACTAATTAGCTAGGACTGTCACTACAAAATACTACTGACTAGGTGGTTTAAACAACACAAATTTATTTTCTCACAGTTCTGGAGGGAGCAGTAGGGTTGGTGCCTGGTGAGGGATCTCTTCTTGGCTTGCAGACAACTACCTCCTCGCTGTGTCCTCCCATTGTTTTTCTTTCATGCATGCACATGTGTGGTGAGAGGAAGAACTATGATATCTCTTCCTCTTCTTAGCAGGACACCAGTCATATTGGATTAGGGCCCCACCCTTACAACTTCACTTAACCCTAATACTTCCTTAAAGGGCCTGTCTCCAAATATAGTTACATTGGAGGTCAGGGTTTCAGTATGAATTTTGGGGGAACGTAATTCAGTCTATAAAGACTTGATTTAAGAAAACATACACTGAAACATTTAGGAGGAAAGGGGTATAATGTCTAAAACATTCAAAAGAGCCCCCAGTCAAACATTTCCAGGCAGGGTACCCTGGGTTTCACGTGCTGATTTGTGATGGAGCTGGTCATTGTGATGTGCTCAAGTAGCAGCAGGGATTGAATTATTGAAGGATGTAACCATGCTTTTCCTAAGGGTCAACCAGAAAATCCAGAAAGTTCTTAGACTCCTTCCCATCTCTCTAAATATCTAAAAAACTACAGAATGATTTATATCTTTATTTCTCAAATTAAATAAAACAATTGGTCGGAAATCTCATACCATACTCTTCAAATGCCTTTGCTGCCATTGTGATTCTACCAAGTAATTTGGATCCTATGCAACTCCCAGAAAGGAGGTTATTAGACATCTGTTCCCCATTAGAGAAGAGTTCTGCAATATGTCAATCCCCTAATGCTGTCTCTGCCACCATGGGGCATCACTGTGAGGTGCATGCCCACCACTATCTGACAAGCCAAGTCTCAGGTATCCATATCCCTGCCCACGCAGTGATGTCTCCAAAGTCAGGAATGTCTAATCTGGGGCTGCCCAAAGTCTAATGCCTGAGTTATGTGATATAGCAGCTACCTATGGGTGTTTCACATGTATAATCTTTTATTATTTATTCACAATATTCCTTTGAGGTTAGGGGTGTACCCATTTCATAGAGCAGAAAACTAAGACTCAATAACTTGCTTGAGCTACTAAGTAAAAAACTTTAAAAATAATAGTTATATTACAACCCAACCCCCAACCCCCTCCCCTACCTTTTTGTTGGGAACAAAGCCCAATTTTTAGCTGGACTCACTGCTGACCAGCTAAAAGTTTAACATTTCCTGTCCTCCCTGGTGGCCCTGTGTGACCAATGAGATCTAAGAAAAGTGTCAGGTGGGCCAACCTAGAAGACTTCTTAAGGGATAGAGAAGAACCCTATTTGCAGCCCTCAATCCTGTCTTCAACCCTATTTACTTCAATCCTGTCTCCTTGAGCTTGAATGTAGTGGCTAGAGCACTGGTAACTATTTTAGGCCACACAGATGAGGGCATAACCTTGGGCTGGCAGAACAGAGAACTTGAAGAAACTTGGCAAAGAACTAGGCAACTTTGTAGAGCCATCATACCAACCTCAGAGTGTGTACCACCCGAATTCATTTAAATGAGAGAAAAATAAGCCATTTTGCTTAAGCCACTGGTTTTTTTTTTTTTATTTTTTGTCTTTGTTGTTGTTGTTTGAGACAAAGTCTCACTCTGTCACCCAGGCTGGAGTGCAGTGGTCTCACTCTGTTGCCGAGGCTGGAGTGCAGTGGCATGATATCAGCTCACTGCAACTCCACCTCCCAGGTTCAAGTGATTCTCCTGCCTCAGCCTCCCGAGTAGCTGGGACTACAGGCGTGCGCCACCACACCTGGCTAAGTTTTGTATTTTTAGTAGAGATGGGGGTTTCACCATGTTGGCCAGGCTGGTCTCGAACTCCCGACCTCGTGATCTGTCCGTCTCAGGCCCTGGGCTCTGAATTTTACTCTAATTTCTACTGCTTTTATAAGTTACATAGATGAGAAGGCGGAGGCACAAAGATTTTTAATACTTTCCTGAACATTCAGAATTTAAATTAATTATGTGAGTCTAGATGTTTTAAAAGTAATAACAATGGCTTTGTGGGGTTGTCATAATAAATGAATGAGTAAATGTGCTCCCTTCTGTTTGTGTACCTGTAATTCTTCTGTGTTCCTCTCTCATCCCCTGTGAAGGATTCCACTCTTCTAGAAGCCATTCATTCACTCATTGTCAGAGTAAGTAAGACTAAGCTGCTTAAATCTTCACGTCTCTCTTGCATTATAACAACTGTGTGTTCCTGATTATTACAAGGTAGATCATTGCATATTTGACCAAGCCCTGTTACTTAAACAAGATTGTACCCCCAACAGCCATGCCCACACTTAGGTGTATCTGTGCTGACTCTGTTTGGCATCCCAATCAGATAATGAAATAAATGGAACTCAGTTCAAATACCTTTTGAAACCAATCCCTGCTATAATATAATTTGCAAAAGTAACTACATCACACAAAAAAACTGACTCATCCCAGAGCCTTTTGGAGAATTTGCTGTAAAATATGGTAGAAGGGCTTGGTAGTAAATTCAGTGAACTAGAGTAACAGACTCAGAGGAAGAAACTGCGGCAATCAGTGCATCCTTTGTTTTAAACATATTGCTTTCCTTATGAGATGAGACGGAAGGAAAATGTGCTATTCGCATCTGAAAACAGGCTAAACCAAGCACTAGGCAATATGTGAGATGGGAATCTCAATTTATTTACAATCTCAATTACTAAGGCATATTGCTTTAGCACCTTATATATGAAGTGTGACAATAAAGTAATGAGATCAGTTTTTTTGTTTGGTTCATAAACTGGGACTAATGCAAATGGAAATTCCAAAATAAGAGTTCCTAAACAATGTGGAGAATTTGCAAAATGAATGGAGTAAGTTTATAAATGAGATTATCCATTTCAAAAGATCTAACACTCATTTTTATATGTAAATTTATTAACTATAGTCATAGCACTTGATCTTCACAGCTCATATAGACAAATATATTAATTTGGTGACAGAATTAAACATTGACAAATATTTGTGTTTTCCCTATTCTTTGTGTTTCACAAAAAACTTAAAATACAAATATACATTTTGTTTTAAGACATTTTGGGAAAATATTTGTTACCCCTTAATATCAGCATTCAGTAATTGATTTAAGAAGAAAACTCTAAGGTTTGGGTTCTTTTTAGTGATGAAACTGCCTTTGCAAAAATTATAACTGAGGAAATTACGACAGTAAAAGAGATCAGACATAACCAACTCCATCTTGCTTCTAACTTTTAAGCTGTCCTTGTTCATTCCTGAGTGTCAGCCCAACTAACTTTGGGAAGGAATTCAGTTCATAGTTTGACTCTGAAACAAAATTGAGAATAGCCCTTTCCCAAAAAGATCCCCTTCTTGCCTGGGACCAGTCTGCCTTTGTAGGACTAACAGATCAGCTACAAGATTAGAAATTATGGTTTAGGAGTCATGCAGCCTTTGCTGCAAGAGTCTGAACCTCCCCAAATTGCTCCTGGGAATAACATCACTATTGTAAAACCTAAGCTCAGTGCTTGAGATATTTTGCACTTGATGCACCAGCTGACACCACCCAGACCAGCAATCTGGCTCAACCAGTTCTGAGATCCCACCCAAGAACAGAAGACAGCAAGAGAAATTCACTTCGACTTCCTGTGGTTCCATCTCCAACCCAACTAATCAGCACTCCCCACTTCGCAAGCCCCTACCCGCCAGATTATCCTTAAAAACTCAGGTCCCCAAAAGGGAGACTGATTTGAATAATAATAAAACTGGTTTCCCACACAGCTGGCTCTGTGTGAATTACTCTCCCTCCATTGAAATTCCCCTGTCTTGATAAATCAGCTCTGTCTAGGCAGCAGGCAAGGTGAAACCCGTTGGGTGGTTACAGTGACTGTCAAACTGACCATTACCGGAAGCCAAAACTGAGGAAACAATTCTCAATCACTCAGATCTTAGAATAGATGGAGAAACTTCTCAGGATGTTTCATAAGACATGATGAGGAAGTCATACGGTAACAACTCATACACCCAAAAGTAGGAAAAAAAAAAAAAAAAAACCTACTTCCCACAATGGTGTACTGGAGGTCTGAGAGAGGACACAAGTGAGTGTGCTGTACAAATAGAACTGTGTTGGAAGGAAAAACATGAAATTCGGGATTATTTAGTCAACACTAAGAGGCTCCAATGGAGCTACTGCTGTGTCCAGAGGGTCGCACATCACCTCTGTAAAAGGCATTATAGAAGACCTTAACAAATCGAAGAAAAAAGCTATGAACAGATAGGAATGTTCTCTTTGTAGAGACTAGACAAGTGTAATTAATAATAAAAGCACTCTCAGCTCATGAGCACATTGTGATATAAATGAATGACCTCAGTAGACATTGTCATTACTCTCAACAAAGAATGTTCAAATTATTACCAATGTTTTCAGTGTGCTTGTGTCTTTATTCCCCACTGATAACATTACAAGAATATGCTTTGGCTTTCCAAACAATACAATTTATTCTCTTTAATAATTCTTCTTTTTCCTCCCTTTCACATAATCATACCACTTTATTCTCATTGCTTCCCATCAACATCATCTTTATTTCGCTTTTCTTCTCAATTCTTCTTATAATCTTTCTCTCCTCTATTGTTTGTTCTATGCCATGCTTGGTTAGGAAAAAATAATACACAATTGTGCTCTGAGGGCCAACGAAATGAATTAAGTTCACCTGAAAGCTTCAAAGGACACAGTCAATATCATCAGTCATTAGTCAAAATGAGATACCACTTCCCACGCACTAGAGTGGCCATAATCAAAGAGGTAGACAATAAGGAGTACTGGTGAAAATGTGGGGAAACTGGAACCTTTATACATTACTGGTAGGATATGTCAACTGGTACAAGCAGTTTGGAAGAGTTCAGCAAAAATTAAAACATTCCTTTACTATATAAAGTGGCAATTCCTTCCTTGGTATTCATCTTTCCAAGAATATAAAAATAAATATCCACACAAACACTTATATGTGAATGTATAGAGTATTATTCACGACAGCCCCAAATGAAAACCATCCAAATGTCCACTTACAGGTGAATGGATAAACAAAACATTTATAAACAAAATACAAGTGAACACGATTCAGCAATAAAAATAGAAGAAAGTAGTAATACATGTTATAACATAGATAAACCTTAAAAACATCATACTACATTAAAGAAGCCTGACACAAAATAACACGTTTTATTATTATATTTATATGTAATGTCTAGAAAAGGCGAATCTACAAAAACAGAAAGCAGATGAGTGATTGCCTGGGGCTGGGATTAGGAGTGAAAACTGACTGCAAATGCCCATCAGGGGTCTTTTTAGAGGGGTGAGAATATTATAAGAGTGAACCGTAGTAAGGTTTGCACAGCTCTAAAAGTTTTGAAAATGTTTAAAGTGTTTTCTTTAATTGACACATAATAATTATAAATATTTATGAGGTACAGAGGGATATTTAAATACATACGATGTGTACTGATCAAATCAGCTGTAAAAGTTTTGAAAATGTTCAAAGTTCTTGTTTTTTAAAATTGACACATAATAATTATACATATTTATGAGGTACAGAGGGATATTTAAATACATACAATGTGTGCTGATCAAATCAGGATAATTAGCATATCCATCATCTCAAACATTTATCTTTTCTTTGTGTTGGGTAGATTGAAAATCCTCTCTTCTAGCTATTTGAAAATATATAATAAATTACTATTAACTATAGTCAGTCTATAGTTCTATAGAATATTGGAATTTATTCCTCCTAACTGTAATTTTGTATCCAAAATTTGTAACCAACCTTTCTCTATCCCCTTCGTTCCCCACCCGTTCCCAGCCTCTAATATTAATAACTACTATTCTACTGTCTACTTCTGTGAGATCAATTTTAGCTTCTATAAATTTATTTTAAAAACTAAAATGCTGTGCACTAAAAATGGGTGAATTTCACAGTATTTAAATTATACCTCAATAAGGCTTAAAAATAAAGCACTCTACTAGTATCATTTTTTATATACTAGTGATAAATATTAGTATGACAAGTCTCTATTCAGTGTATTCCCTTGTAAGATTAGAGATGTATTTTCATAAGAGAAAAGTCTGACAGCCAGGGTTGAAAAGAGGTACTAAAATGCCCGGGCAGACTGACAGCAGGTTAGATGTTATAATTTAGTTCTCTTGGTATTTGTAGAGCAGACTGAAATATCTGGTTCATGTAGTATACTCCAGCTTAAAAATTCACCAAATTCAAGGCTTTAGGTTATTAATTACATTCTTTTTATATATTAATAGGTGTATTAAAAATAGATTATTTTACATAAATGCTTTCAATTGATAGATCAAATATTAGCTGCAGCTTAATACTGGCATTGTTCAGAAAAAGGCTGGCATTCTTTCCATGTTCCCATTTGTTATCTCTCTCTCTCTACATACCGTCCTTAACAAACCTTTTTCACACTGTACTATAACGATCCATCCCCGTATCTGACTCTCTACGCTTGCCTATGCTTCTTGAAAGCAGAAGCAATCTCCTCAATGATTTGCATCATTAACACATAATTGTTACTCAACAAAACTTTCTGAAGCTTACATGTACAGTCATACCTCAGTGCGCTCAGAGTATTGCTTCCAGGACCCCCTGGGGATATCAAAATCCTCAGATATTCAAATCCCTGATATAAAATGGGGCAGTATTTGCATGTAATCTACACACATCCTCCCATACACTTTACATAATCTCTAGATTACTTATAATACCTAATACAATGTAAATGCTATGCAAATAGTTGTTATACTGTATTGCTTTTTAAATTTTGTGTTATCTTTTAATTTTTTTTTTTCAAATATTGTCAATCTGTGAAATCCACGGATATGGAAGGCTGGCTGCATTAAAGTTTCTTGTGGCTGCTGTAACAAATGGCCACAGACTTGGTGGTTAAAAACTGCAACAAGCGGCTGGGTGTGGTGGCTCACGCCTGTAATCCCAGTACTTTGGGAGGCTGAAGCAGGCAGATCACCTGAGGTCAGGAGCTCGAGACCAGCCTGGCCAACATGGTGAAACACCGTCTCTACTAAGAATACAAAAATTAGCCAGGCATGATGGTGGGTGCCTGTAATCCCAGCTATTTGGGAGGCTGGGGCAGGAGAATTGCTTGAACCTGGGAGGCGGAGGTTGCAGTGAGCCTTGCCATTGCACTCTAGCCTGGGCAACAAGAGCGAAACTCCATCTCAACAAAACAAAACAAAACAAAACAAAACAAAAAAACCTGCAACAATCTATTTTCTCAGATTTTTGGAGACCAGAAGTTCAATTTGTTGGCAGGGCCACACTCCCTCTGAAGGCCCTAGGAATCCCTCTTTGCACAGCTCCTGGTGGCTCCAGGCATACTTCAGCTTCCTTGACTTCCAGCCACATCACTCCAATCCCTGCCTCTGTCTTCACATTGCCTTCTCCTCTGTCTTGCTCTCCTCTGTCTCTTATAACAACACTCTTGATTGGATTTGGGGCCATGGGATAATCCAGGATGATCTCATCTCAAGATCCTTAATTAATTACATCTGCAAAGACCATTTTTTGGAAATGAGGTCACATCCACAGGTTTTTGTTTGTTTGTTTTTGTTTTGAGACAGTCTCACTTTGTTGACAGGCTGGAGTGTGGTGGTGCTATCTCGGCTCACTGCAACCTCCCACTCCCTGGTTCAAGCGATTCTCCTGCCTCAGACTCCTGAGTAGCGGGGATTACAGACACACGCCACCACATCCAGTTAATTTTTGTATTTTTAGTAGAGACGGGGTTTCACCATGTTGGCCAGGATGGTCTCAATCTCCTGACCTTGTGATCTGGCCGCCTCAGCCTCCCAAAGTGCTGGGATTACAGGCGTGAGCCACCGCGCCAGGCCACATCCACAGGTTTTAAGGATTTGGATATGGATCTTTTGGGGAGCCACTACTTAATACATTACGATATAACCCAAAAGTTTAAGTATTTTAAAGGACTTGACAATACTCACATAAAAATAAAAAGTTTTGCCACCAATAAGGTAAATCAATAAGATTTACTTCTCACAAATTTTAAACTACTTCCTTTTTATATATATATATATATATATATATATATATATATAACCTGTCTTCAACCTAAATTATGGAAGGAGATTTTGTGATGGATTTTACTAGGACCTATTGAGAAAATAGGAAGCAACCTTCCCAGGACTGAAATAAATACAATTCACTGAAGCATGAACCAGCTGCATATTATGTTCCTATGCTTTGAGAATTTTCCAAATTTTTCTCTTGATGGATGGCAGTTATTTTCCACGACTCCTATTACCTTCCAGTGGTGTTTTTCCAAAGGAGATATATTTAAATACATCTTGGACAAGAACAAAGTATTTTAATTAACTGTGAAACAATATAAAAATAAATTTTGCTCTTTATTTCGACATTATAGCCTTCAGTGTCAGAAGCACTATTATTTCGTTCCTGCACACCTGTATTAGTTTGTGCTTGGGGAAAAGATGTAGCCAGCTACATACATCTAGCTCTAAGTCACTGCAGTTTACACAAGGATAGAAGACTATTGCTTTAATGGGGAAGAAGGGAAACAAAAGAATAATGTATTATTAAATGTTTCAAAAGTAAGAATAAACGGAAAAGACTAACAGGTTTAGAAACTTCACTTCTGGATGTGACAAGAATTCCAAAACAGTCAACTCCAGCTACCCCACCTTTGAAATAGGAACCTAATCAAGAGTGTAAGACACTGTCACTCATTTTCATGTTAATTTTTAATATATACTGAGAAACAGAGGAAAATTAAATGAAATCTTTTGCTCTGGAAAGATTTGAGGCAACATTAACAATACCAATGTTATTGCTTACTTTCTTTTCTTATTAAAAAGGATGAAAAGTGAAGGTTTATTCATGTTTTATCAAGCTACGGTTCTAATTTTTAAAGTTTAAGGAATTAATATGGTTATGTTTTCCTAGGACCATTAACGTGTCACATCAGATACTTAAGTTTTATTGAAGTAGGGTAGGAAATAAATAGAAGAAAGAAACCTAATATATGGAGAAGGTATTTTGTGCAAATTAACAGTACTTATTCTGAAATTTATAAATTTTTCATTTCCTTATTTATAATTTGCATTATAATAAAACTTGAACTTATAGCAACTTATGACAACATAGAAGGAATATTATTCTTATTAGATGAAACATGAAATAAAAGGATATAAAATATTTTGAAAACCAGGAAAGTCTATAAAAGTATACTTTAAGTTTACGTGTACGGCATCCTCATTCACTGTATAAACTAGAATCATAAGTTCCATGAAAGCAGGAGATTTTGCTTGCATTGTTTACCAATTTATTCTCAGAACTTTGAGTAATGCCTGGCATATGACAGGTTCTCAATATGTATTCGTCAAGTGAATGAAGGAAAAAAATGAAAAGAACCAAGAACACAGTCATGTAGACCTAGTCTGAATACAGGTTCCACTACATACTACATACTAGCTGAATTTCACTTCTTCCACCTGTCACTTAGCCCTTGGTGTAGCACTGTCTTGGGACAGTCTTTTACCTTTATATGAGCCTGTCCTGCTTCTCTTGGTTATACTCTAAGCTTCTTTCTTCATTCCCGGTGTCTACTATGATAACCTCTCACAACTCAGAAATCTGAGGATGCTCACAATGATCAAGAATTGTAAGGCTTTCTCTGATGCTTAAGGGGTACAATGTCTAAAGTAACTATCTTTTCAAATCATCTAGTCTATTAGAGTTCTCCAGAGAAACAGAACCAAAGGATGTATGTGTGTGTATAGAAAGAGATTTATTAAAAGAAATTGGCTCATGTGATTATGGAGGCTAGAAAGTTCAAAATCTGCATGGCAGGCTGGCAGGCTGATCTCGCTCCAGGAGAGCCAGGGTTCTAGCCCAAGGACTGGCGGGCCAAAGACACAGGAGAGTCAATGCCCCAGGGTCTGAGTGTGAAGGCAGGAAGAGCTGATTTTGCAGGTGAAGTCCAAAGACAGCCTGGAGAATTCTCTCTTTCTCAGGGGAGGCCAGTCTTTTTGTTCTATTCAGGCCTTCAACTGATTGGATGAGGTCCACTCATATTACCAAGGACAATCCACTTTGTTCAAAATTCACTGAGTTAAAAGTTACTCCCAACCAAAAAAAGAAGAAGAAAACCCTCAGAAAAACACTCAGAATAATTTTTGACCAAATATGTAGGCACCCGGTGGTCTAGCCAAGTTGATATCCAGAAAATGTCACCCCAAAATAGAGTACTCTTGTATGATTATTCTTTAAATTAAAGGCCCTTGGAAATCAGGAGGTGCTGGAAGAGGCTTTCCTCTGATCTTCCCTTATCTGCCTAAAGACTGGACCAACCAAGGAAGAAAACAATTGCCTTTTGTCCCTTCCCTGAGTTTTCATTCACTAAACTCATATTGCAGAGAGAAGACTGAGGAATGTAACCACATCTGGACAGATTTCGTCACCAGGTATTGTCCTCTCCCACGCCCATTTATTCCCTTTAAAAATCATTTAATACCTTTCATATTGCCATGATCCCCCACTTCCCCTTGCCCTATGTGGAAGTGTATATAACCATCCAGATCCCATTGGGTTAATGGGTGATCACTCCTCTGTGATTTTTGCCCTGTGTGTGTTAATAAAATTTTGTACGCCATTTTCTCCTGTTAGTCTATCTATTGTCAGTACATTCCAGGAGGAAATGCTTGGCTTTGGCTCCTACAACACAAGAGTTCACCATCACACCTAGTGTATGTGTCCCATCGTATCTACTCTGGAGATGTTGACAAATAAAGTGTCCCCCTTGGTCTTATGTTTCTAAGTTAGAGGAAAACTTCATGGAACACTAAAAAGGGATCTTTGTTCTTCACCTGCCCCAGTGTTTTATTTGCCTCATTCCCCCCAAACAGTCACACTTCAGTACCTACATGCTTGCCTGGAACGTGGACCTCAGATATTAATCATGACTATATAATCAAATCCAAGTCAATATCTCACAAGTCTTGCCAGAGTATGAACAGATGCTCACTATCTTGAAAATGAAAATATTAGTGTTACAGATCCCTGGAGCCCAACACTTATTGTCAAAGTCAAGGGAGAAATGGGGAAAGAGGGGGTTAAAACTGCATTGCTGGAACAACCCCATACTCTCCAGCTGTGAACAATTAGGCCTGTCAGCATTCCTTTCAGGAAACTCCTGCTGCTTTATTAGGATGAATGGGAAACAGAATTTTGACTTTTTGATAGGTGAGGTTATAAATCTACCATCAAGACTGGGAGAGGACCAACTGGGTTTATGTGCACATGTTGAATCTTTAATTATGGACCCCCCAAGATGTTCAACTTAGTAATGCCTTATCGTGTTCCAAGGCAGAAGTGGGAGGAGAGGGAGGAACTAGGTTTGTGACTAAGGAATTACTCTCTTTTAATAGAATTACATAGGAGGATAGGTAACAGTTGTGCAGAGGAAGGTCTCTGAATACCCATGATGTGTCAACTTGGAAATATTTGCTCATGCACAATTCTTTTTCATGGCTAGTCACAATTTTATGACTTTCTATGAATTTCATATCTAATTTTAAAATAATCTATAACATAAAAATGAGAAACCAAGCTCTGAGAAAACAGTAAAGGTGAAAGCAACTTAAATTTTCATGTGTCTTACCAAAAAATTACAACGTTATATGACAGAAAAAAGTGCCATGAAGGCACAAAATATCTTCTATGACTACTTTGAATACCACATTGTTTTTAAGAACTCCAAATGTAATTGATACAAATTAGCGACATGTAACCTATTGCACATAAGATATAGCAGAAAACTTCCAGAATTGTATTCAAAAGATAGTTTTAGAAATCAGTACTTTATTTGGCACAAAATACATCCAGTTCTTCATCTGGTGCTTTTTTTTTTTTTTTTTTTTTTTTTGACAGGGTCTCACTGTCACCCAGGCTGGAGTGCTGTGGCGCTACCACAGCTTGCTGCAGCATCGACCTCCCGGGCTCAAGCGATCCTCCTGAGTAGCTGGGACTACAGGCGCACACCAACAAGCCCAGCTAATTTTTTACTTTTATTTTGTAGAGATGGGTCTCACGACATTGCCAGGGCTGGTCTTGAACTCCTAAACTCAAGGGATCCTCCCACCTCAACCTCCCAAAATGCCGGGATTACAGGCATAAGCCACCATGCCTTGCCATCATCTGGTAGCTTTGATCCCTCTCCTTCAAGACACATATATTGTTGTTTAGTAAGATTCCCTTTAATATCAGACAGTATTTTTAATTTTTAAAATTTTACATTTAAATTTTATTTTATCTTTAGAGATAGGGTCTTGTTCTGCTGCCCAAGCTGGAGTACAGTGGTGTGATCACAGCTCACTGCAACCTTAAACTCCTGCACTCAAGGGATCCTGCTGCCTCAGCCTCCCAAATAGCTAGGATTACAGGCACTCCCCACCATGTCTGGCTAATTTTTGTTTTTCTTTTTTTTTTTGTTTTTTTTTTTGAGACAGAGTCTCACTCTGTCACCCAGGCTGGAGTGCAGTGGTGTGATCTTGGCTCACTGCAAGCTCCGCCTCCCGGGTTCACGCCATTCTCCTGCCTCAGCCTCCCGAGTAGCTGGGCTCTTTTAATATTTTGTAGAGATAGAGTCTCACTTTGTTGTCCAGGCGGGTCTCAAACTCCTGGCTTAATATCCTCCCACCTTGATCTCCCAAAGTTCTGGAATTATAGGCATGAGCCACCGCACCAGGCCTTGGATAGTATTTTATCTGGTCTCCTAAGATCCAACTTGCCCCTCACACCTCTAGTCAAATAACAAATGTGAAGATGGTGATACCTTTCTGGAGAGAAGCTGGAATTTTGTTGTACTTGTACATTTTTGATGATAGCATGGCTTACTAACATAGCACCCTATTCATAGAACTCCTCAAAAAGTGCTCACTAAATTAAGTATTAATAGAATATTTCTCATTCATCATCAGTCAGAGCCCACTGAGATGCTTCAACAACTCACATAACATTTTCATGTCCTCACTTGAAAAATGGGACTAAAGCTACTGGACCAAAATATGTGATGTCTCACAGCCAATGCCTGGCATATAATCAGCACTCTGTAAAGGCTGTTTTTTAAAGAAAACTTACATTACTCATTGTCGTGACAAGAAAGTGATAAATTAGATACAAATGCATTAAGTAAGGCTCAGGCACTTTGCAAGTTTGGGGGTTTGTTTTTCTTTAAAGTATTTTAAGCAAACTTCCCAATTCCCAGCAGAATTTCTTTCTTTTTTTTTTTTTTCTGAGATTCTTCCCTCTGTCCTCTCACTGCTCTGCTGACTGAGAGTCTTGCTTTTGCCAGCTGTATCTTAGGACTAATGAGATTATTGTGGAAATGATCAGTCGTTTGAAACACCAGCCCACAAGTACAAGTAAATTCAGAAGATTGAGTAGAGCTCCATGGGAATCCACTCAAAGAGAACAGGGTGACCATAAAATGTGCCACTGAGGCTTCCTGCTGCGGGAGTAAGATTGACTTTTGGCCCCAGCTCCTGCATCCTCGAAGTCCACCACCGGTTTTGCCTTAGGCTACACTCACGAGGGTAGCTCCCAGTTAGTGACTGAGCAAGGCTGGGAAACTAAGGCAGGTCCATTCCTGCAAGATGGAGGGCTCCCCTGACAAGAAATTTTGGCTCCTGGACTCTATGTCAGCCTGCTCCAGAAACTGCTAGAACTCCATGCACTGCAGTCTGAGACTCTTCCTAACTTCCCCCTTCCTTCCTACTCTGCTTCATAGTCCTGCATAGAAGGCTGAAGGTTCTTCCCACCTCCTTTCACTCCTCTTTTATCCTCACTAGCTTTCCCCTAGTAAATCTCTTTTATGTCTAATCCCACCTTGTGTCAGCTTCTTGGACAACAAAACTTTAAAAAGAAATAGCTTACTAAATGCTTTCACTCCTTGTCAGGTAGCTACAGGCTACAGCAATGCCAGTAGTCAATGTGGAAACCTCTTTCCAGACTGTATGAGACATGGTATGAGGTAGTAGCCTATAACAGATTCACTACCCAATTAAATTCATCATGTCAATAATTTCAGGACAAGAAAAGGCCTAAGTTTTCTTAAGGCATTTAAACAAAAATAAGGTAAGGTAGGTCCATGAAAATAATAAACCAATACCACTTCTCTAACTTGGTTAAGCTACTTTCCCTATTGAAGATGTGTTTCCCTAATACAATTGCAGGTTTTGTTAAGGATAATAATACTGAGTTAACTATTTTAGTCAAATCCACTTTGAAAATAATATGCTAGAATAATATGAATATATACTATAATTTATTTTCAAAGGAGATAGATGTGCCAAGAATCCAGATTAAACTATGGACTGATTAATAAGCTTTTCCCATCTCAACTTCATGATACTGCCTTCTTCTTTTCCTAATATAAATTCTACCTGTTTAATTTTTCTAATATGAAACATTACACCCACCTTCATTTACCTTCTGGCACAGTCTTCCAATGACAGCAATATCCAAAAACAGGAATATATTGTCCACTGAAAAATTTGTATTAGTTATCTCTGTCTAATAAATTACTCCAAAACTTGTCGGGCTCAGATGGGGATAGATCACTCCTAAGCTCACTCATATGGTCACTGGCTGAGTTCAGTTCCTTGAGGTGGTTGGACTTGGGCCTCCATTCCTTGCCAGCTGTTCACCGGAGGTTTCCCTCATTCCCTGGCACATGGCCCTCTCTGTAAAGCTGTTGGCATCCTCAGAGAAAGTGAGCGAGCAGAGAATAAGAATACCCAGGACAGGGGTTGCAGCTTTTACAACCCAATCTCAGAAATGACGTTCCACCACCGCTTTTCCACAAAAGTGCATCACTAAGCGCAGTGCACACTCAATGGGAACAGACTACACAAGCGGGTGAATCCGAGGCAGCGCAGGCCATTGGGAGGCAGCCTTGAGTATGCCGGCCACTCCGTTACTGTAGACACTCATTTCAGAGTTGTTTTCCTCAAATGCTTAAAGATTGGTTCATTGACATAAGAAAAAAATAGTCCATCATACCACACAGCTAAGGACTGCGATATTTTCTAATTTATAAAAAATACAAACTGAGGCCAGGCACGGTGGCTCATGCCTACAATCCCAGCACTTTGGGAGGCCGAGGCAGGTGGATCACCTGAGGTCAGGAGATCAAGACCAGACCGGGCAACATGGTGAAACTGCGTCTCTACTAAAATATAAAAATTAGTTAGGCACGGTGGCGCGTGCCTATAATCCCAGCTACTCGGGAGGCTGAGGCAGAAGAATTGCTTGAGCCCAGGAGGCAGAGGTTGCAGTGAGCCAAGATTGCTCCATTGCAGTCCAGTCTGGGTGACAGAGCGAGACTCAGTCTCAAAAAAAAAAAAAAAGGAACTGAAAAAATGACTTGTGCTTGGGGATACACAGCATGAACGGGTGGCAGGAAAAAAACAAAATAAGGAAAACTGTCTTTTGAAAGCATGAAAGAGTCATGGGAGGTGCTTAGAGTAAAACAGTGCTTTACTCCCATGTATCAACCTAGAAAATCTTCTTCAAAAGGAAATAACTTTCTTTGAATTGATGAAGCTCAGAAAAAGCTTGAGGTATATGTTATTATCAAGAGAAGAGTTTAAACAACAACTTATTTCACTGCTAGTTTCCGAGTAAAGATTCTTATAGCAATTTATTGTCAGTAGACTCTAATACCACCTGCGAAATACTACTATTTTTACTCATTATTGATTTAAAATAATTTTATAGAGAACTGGTTGCTTTTTTCCAAGATACCATTTGCTCGGATTAAATTATGCTTAATGCCAAGACGCATTTTTGCTAACAGCAACCACAATGAGGCAATGAGATCTCTAAAGTTACAGCAACTTATTCCAGTGAGAAGGACTGCAGACATCATCCAGTTCCACCCCCTGACTGTTTTATACTCCTGGCTGTCAACCTTAAAGGTTACCTTAAGCCCAGCTTCTCTTTAAACTTTCATGACTCACTCATAAATTTGTATAAATCCTTTGAAACCCTTTTATATTTCCTGCCACTTAACACCTCTTGGGAAACAAAGTTAAAATTACTATTGCTTTTTCCAAGTCTTCTGGCTTTACTTAGTGATATGGTTTGGCTGTGTCCCCACCCAAATCTCATCTTGAATTGTAGCTCCCATAATCCCCATGTAATGGGAGGTAACTGAATCATGGGGTCAGGTTTTTCCCATGAGACCTCCCCAGCCATGTGAAACTGTGAGTCCATTGAACCTCTTTTTCTTTATAAATTACCCAGTCCCGGGTATTTCTTCATAGCAGTATGAAAATGTACAAATACACTTAGGTTGAGTTATTATCATTGGTACCTGATATGAACTAAAAATAATAATTTCAGAGATTTTACCAACTTCAGTAATAGCTACTTTGATATTTGTAAATCTATTCTTGGTTTTCAAAACATAGTAGTACCATGGTATTTTGACAAGAAAATAGTGATACACTAATTACAATAAAATAGAAAGTTATTGCAAGTCCAGCTTTGTATCATCAAAAACTAAAGTGGCTCAATTTCAAGTCATGCACCTATAAGGACTAATGAATGAACGTATGAATGAACAGATGAATGATAGAAAGTCTGAATGGAAAGGAATGCATCTTGGGGGCATAGGCAGATAAAGTCATTTCACAAGGGAATAGCCTACCTGGTTACTTCAACATCCACAGCTCACAGAGATGGTACAGCTTTGAAGGTGGGAGAGCTACTATGATGAGTGGCAATCAAAACCCAGAAACCTCTAATATACTCTAATTTCCTTGTGAGTGTATTAGAGGCCTAATCTAATACACTGAAATTTAATTGGACAATTTTTTTTGATATTCTAATTTAAGACTTTATAACTCCATAGGTAGAGGGCAAAAGTGGAGGAAAATGAAGCCAAAAAGGAATATAACACCTTGAAGAGTGTGCTGACAGCACATGTGTTATGATCCAAGAATGACCTGTCTGTTATACAAGACTTGACACTAGGCTAGATGAATGGATCCACAGTCTATAAGGAGGAAGGTGCTGGTTCTACTCCACTTCCAGGAGAATTCAACTCTGGGCCTCTCACTTTTAGAGACATCTTTTGATTGCAGCATATCTAACGAAAAGAACCAGAATAATAAGAAAACTTAAAACTATTTATATGTTATATGAAGAAAAGCTAGAAAATGTGAGGGTGTTTATCCTGGAAAACAAATTATTCAGGAGGACAAAATGCTGCCGATAAATACCTACAGGTCTACTGATGGAAGAAGAGTCCTCACCCCAGAAGAATGAGCAGCCTCAGAAGGCATGAGCACCAGGCTGATGGGAGTTCAGAGCAGAGGCCAAACACAGATGACAGCACCTTGTAGGGGAGGATGCTACTGGAGGGGCTGACTCTATCACCACCGTGGTGTAATACCACCATTCAAATCCCGGGTGCACAGGTGGCCCATCGGTCAAACTTGGGGAACTCTTCTCTAGTCATCAGTTTCTAGTGTAAGAGACTAGAATATGCTACTCCAAAATAAGCTGCCTTGGCATAAGGATTATTTTGAGCTGATTATTTTGAGAAACTGCAGATACAGGAAAAGCTCTGAAAACAGAATACAAATCACTCTTTGGTAAGAGAAATTTACATCCACAGAGGAACTCTCCATTTGTAAGTGTGTCTCCCCATCTATACCAGGAAAAGGAGGACTCAGTCACTGGAGACGCATCAGTGGAGAGGGCACCCACTGAAATCTGCACAGCAAATCTTATCCTTGCTTACACTGCTTGTCCAGGTCACCTCCCCATTACCTGGCTTCCCCACACCCTTCTTTCTTGTTTCAAAGGACTGTGGTATTTAAACCTGAATTCAAAGTCATCTCTTTGAGATTTCCTCATTTCTCTGTGTTTCTCCTGTGTACACATGAGGTACACATTTTATTAAGCTTCTGTTTTTTCTCACTTGTCAATCTGTCTTTTGTTACAGGGCTCTGTCCCAACTGAGAACTATGAAGGATAGAGAAACAAAATTATTTTTTCCTCCCCTACACTAGGTCTAGCCTGCCCTAAAGACACCTTAGGATGGGCAGAATGAGCCCCAAATATCATGTGCTCTACTGCTTACATTATGTCTAATTCCCAAGAATGTCTGCTTCGGGCTGAAGAAAAAAAAAAGCATCATCTAAACTATAAAAAGCTATTTAAAGCTGTACTTCTAATTATAATTTCTCTCTTATCCCATCTTCACTAGTTCTCCAGGATATGTTTCCTACAGTTCTCCCAAAGCTTACCAGAAATAAAATCAATCTACTAGGGGTTGGTGTGTATGGCATATTGGCTGAAAGGGATGCACGGAATTTTACCATGCTGCACACTGTCAGTAAATGGCACACAAACAAGGCTACCAAGTTCAGACAGAACTGCAATGGGGTGGTCAAGAAAAGCTTCCTTGAGAGGCTGAATTCTGACCCAGCTATGCAGGAAGAGGAAGGTTTAGATGGGGAGAGATGTGTGCGTTTTCCTAAGAGCAAGGATTTGCACAGCCAAGAACATTAAAGGCAGAGACAAGAGCAAAAATAATATAATCCCTATTTCCTGTGTGTTGAGACATAAAGGCATTGCATTTTCCTTCTGCCTAACCATTGCACGCTCATTTTATCTTTGATCTAAAGTAATTAAAAGTATATCCTGGCTCCTGAATGAGCCACAATGCTAATGAGGTAGTGCCATTAGCATCAGGATTCAGTCGGGAAGTAATTACTTCTATGTACATTTTGGCTTCTTTGCTGAAATGTGGGAATGTGACCAGGTGATTATGGAACTATTTTAACAGGGTTTGGTGCAGATGCTTTCATCTGGAAACACAGACTCCAGGAATCTTAAACCACTTGGGAACAGACATCCATAAAAACAATTATTTTTATACTCTGGGGCTAGAATCAGCTTCCTGGAGTTTACTGTTAATTCTTTCAATGCCATTCAATGTGGGTATTTTTTGATATGCTTTCACTTGCATGCTGTAATTTCTCTTTCCAGAACACCATTTTGTTGGGGGTGATGAAGGATTTGGTTGGGGGCAGCGGTGGGTAAAGAGAAAAGAATGAGGTAAAATCAAATATAAAAAACAGCTGGCATGGGGAGGGGAGAAGTACAAAGACAGGATTGAAAGCAGCAAGTGGAAAAACGTATTCTCCCATAGGTGGAAAACAGAAGAAAGTTAACAGTGTTCCAACCCTGAAGAACAGAATGGGTCTGGCCTGGAGCCCTTGGGTCCTATGGGGACAGTCAGACCTGATGGCAATCAATTACGAGGCAGAAGATGAACTCCCTGCAAAATGGTTGCTTTTCACCTCGTGGATGTCAAGAGGTGGCTTGGGAATAGGTTGGGGACTGTCCTGGTTTTAGAACCATGCTGGAGGGCTCACTCAAGCCCCTTCCTTGGATCTGCTTCTGCCCCCACTACTACCATGTTGGTTCGCATGAAGTCCCTAAGTCATAAATGTGATCTAGCTAACATATTTTCGGCATTTCCTTCCAGAAAAAAAGCTTGCTTAGCTACTATATAAAATTTATTGCAGAATCTTCCTTCAAGCTGTCTTTACTCCTGCTCCCTGCCAGCCCCTTCAACCCTTGTGTCCATCCACTCCCCAAGCATCTCCCCCGCCTCTGCTCTTCAGCTCCAGGCATCGCGTCCTCTACTATGAGGCTACAAAGTCCAGAGTGTTACAATGACCCTCAGCACCATCCTTTCTCCTCTTTGAAGATCTCTTCTGATAGCCACTAGCCCTTCTCCCACTGAAGTCCTGATTTTAAGAGCAAGGCAGTGGAAGACAGCACTGAAACCTGGAGGATTTTGCAGACTTTTCCATTATCCTTGGGTTGGCCTCTGCACATGTGGCCATCGTCCTTTCTTACTGATCCTGTTCTTCAACCATGTTCTCTTTCTCTTATCCCTCTTCCACATCCTCCCGCAGTCTCATCCGTATGAACCACCCTTCCTTGTCTGCTGTGCACTACCTGTCCACATTTTTCACCTGCCACAGCACTTAAAAACTGAAGTTTAAATACGGTCCTCTCTCCCGCTTTTCTACACTACAAGGTCTTTGAGGCTGGAGAGCCACAGTGTTTTTTGTTTCTAGCCCCTTGACACACAGAACCAAGTCAGACACTCAAATTTCTGGTGAATACTTACTCATGGAAGACATGTAGTGAACCCCTGCTGAGAAACGAGGTACTCTGAGGAGACACAAGATGTCCTCATTCAAGGAATATTGCTTAAGATCTTTTCATATGCCAGGCAGTGTGCCCAGTACTGTGGGATATGTCAGGGAAGGAAACAAGACAAGCCTTGACCTCCAGAAGGATACAACACACAAATGCATACAGAAAATGTGATAACAGCTAAAACAGAAAAGCACAGAATTGCAGAATGAATATATAATGAGGTGCTCTGATTCACTTTGCTTTACTCTGGTACTGTGCCTGGCACAAGATTTTAATAAATGAATGAGTGAATACAGCCAGGGAATGATAAATTAAAGAAAGCTACCACAAAACTTAATGCACTTTATTTATTAAATAAATGCACATGAACAGCGCAGAGCAAATGTCTCTTATAATAGACACCAAAAGTCAGAGGAACAAATAATTTGTCGAAGTCACTTCAGAGATCATCCAAAACACTAGCTCTTAACCACTGAGCCCCCTTTGAAAATCTAAAAACAAACCAATATTGCACACAATGGAATTCTCTAAAGCCCATTGACTCCCAGTTTTAAAGTATTTTACCCATAAAGCCCACTTCAGGACAGAGCCACAATGCACATTTCCAAACAGTGCTTCAGGATACCCAAAGTCAACACCAACTGCTGACTGGCAGGTCCTTGGGAAAACTTGCGTTTGTTAAATACATTCTAAAGACAAGATATTTTCCATGCCAGAAGCACACACAAACCCAAATATCAACCTAGAATGTACCGTCTTGAGCCCTTAGGCTAACCTGTTTTTATATAATAGGAGATAGAGCCTCTGCAACAAGAGAGATTCCCAAAGTTTGAAGCTTTGCAGTTGAAATGAGCATCTAAAATCAAGGGCCAAGTCCCAACAAAATTTCGTCTCGATTTTCTTCTGAGAAAATGAAGTAATTTCTTATTCTCCTAAACATAGGAGTATAAGAAAATATTGTTTTGTCAAGAGAATATCCTTTCAGACTAGTTCTACAACGAGAGAAAAATCACCAAGAAAGGATATTGAACAAGAGTCAAATGCCAAGATGAAGAATATATTTTTAAATACTGTTTTTGTTTATTTTTGCACTATATATCAGAAAACAAAATACTCTATTCCATCTATAACACACTCAAAAAGCAAGTATAATAAGAGGCAATTAAATTTCAATATTTGGAGAAAAGTTTCAGAGATTGGCAACAGTGTTGCAGTGGGGTGATGTTGTCAGACTGCCTGGATTCAAATGCTGACATCACCAGGTGTGACCTTAAGCTAATGGCATTTGGCTTCTCAGAGCCTCAGCCAGTCTTCTGCAAAATGGAAATAATAAAAATTTTAACAACAACTTCATAGGGCTGTGTGTATATTAAGTGAGATAATTCACTTAAAAAAGCTTCAGAGCAATACCCAGAGAGCTAAGAAAAACAAAACAATACATTGGGTAAGAAAGTGAAAAGGAAGAAAAGAAAAAATATTTCCACATTAACACAAATAAGAAAGAACAATACATTTCCATGTTCCACTTTTAAAATACAAGTACATTCAGATAAAAATTTTGAAAAAAAAAATTCACAGATTTTCTAAATAAACAGAAAAAACTGGAAAAGAAATCAGAAAAAAATCCCACTTCCATAAGCCTCTCTCTCTTTTCTCTGGCCTTCTTTCCTGGGTAGGAACAAGATGCCAGATGGTAATGCACCAATCACAACTTGACAACACTTTTCTAGATATGCCTCTGCTTTCCAAAATGTGTTTAAAATTTGTTTAATGCCTTTATATTTACAGGTGTTTTAAAAGGCTTTTAATAATTCGTCTTACTCTTTACTGTGCACTAACCTGTAGGATAGGTTTCTTGAGGTTGCTATAGGAGTTTAACTATAGAGATGAAAACAGGGAAAAGCCTAAAGTGCTTTCCAATCGCAGAACATGAGTCTCACCATCATTTGAGAGAAAATAAAGCCGAGAGAAAATCCATAGCACATGGGAGGCAAACACCTTGCCAAAAAGTGAAATGACCAGCCAAAGTTAGGTTGTTCTGATACTGCTATACCCTGTTAGACTCACTGGTAATGGGTCTCTATCTGTCTCTAGTCAAACAATCAGTACGTAGAGTCTATTTCTGTTTTCTCGTTTGTTTCCCTCTTTTCTACTGAACAGCGTTCTTTAATCAAGCAGCTGCCACAATCTAACTGGCTTTCAGACTGAGCTACTCCAAACACAGCCTGAACCACTTTGCCGGGGTCTGCAGGAAATCTCCAGGCCTGTTAGGACACAGCAGATCTTTTGTAAGTCACTTTGGCTGCTCTTGCTCCCAGCTGCATGCCAATTAGTCTGCAGGCTGCTCTTTCCTTGCAGCCATTGGAACCACACTCCTATTTCAGGGATCTCTCAGGAAACATGTGGCTGAGAAACCAAATAAGGCGGATGCCTAGTATTTGTCATCAACCTAGATCACAAATGTCCTTGTCATGATCTACCTGAACCTTTAGAAGATGATTTTTAAAGAAGGATATATATATATAAAATATATATATCCTTATATATAATATATATAAAATATTGTATATAATGTATATATATTTATATTTATTATACTTATAATTTTTTATATTTATATTTATATTTTTATATTTATGTTATAATTTTTATATTTATATTATTTTTATATTTATATATTTATAATTTTATATATTTATAAATATGTATTTATAATTTTATATATTATTAAACGTATTTATATTTATAATCTATTTATATTATATATTTATATTAATAATAAATATATTAATACATAATGTATTTATATATAATATAATGTTTATATAATATAAATATATTAATAATATATAAATATATTAATTATATTATTATAAATTATATTATTAATATATAAATATATTAATAATATATAAATATATATAAATATATTAATAATATATAAATATATATATAAATATATTAATAATATATAAATATATATATATTTTTTCCCCCTCAGAGCAGGGTCTCACTCTATCACCCAGGCTGGAGTGCAGTGGTGCAATCATAGCTCACTGCAGCCTCAAACTCCATGGTTCAAACGATCCTCTTGTCTCGACCTCCCAAGTAGCTAGGACTATGGGCATGCACCACCATGCCTGGGTATTTATTATTTTTGTAGAGACAGGGTCTCACTGTGTGCCCAGGCTGGTCTCAAACTCCTGGCCTCAAGCAATCCTTCTGCCTCAGATTCCCAAAATACTGGGATTATCCACTTGAGCCACTGCACAGGGCTACAGTTAATGTTTTTAACAGGTAAGAAAGAAAATGTATTCAGGAACAAGTTTCATGTGATAATTTGGAAAGGGAGACTATAAGGGATTATTAAAGTAAAACAGTCTCTATGAGTTCAAATTTTGCTTTTAGCACTTTGCTTTCCTTTCCTCTTAGACATATTGATTTATACTGTGTACATTATCCTCCATGTGCCAAAACCAAAAATTAAGGATGCTGACCTAGGACGGGTGTTGGTGTCATTGGTTAAACTCAGACCGTAAAACTGCAGCTGGCACTACATTTCTAACATTGTTATAACAAAGTGAGGAGGACTGAACAGTTGAAGCAGATGTTGGAGATGTTCAGGGATTTGGGGCCCAGAGGCAGGACTTTAAAAAGCTGCTGAAATTCCTCATCCAATTAATTGGCAAAGAGCTCTGAGAGTCACTTTAAAGAGCAACCCTGGCTGGGTGTGGTGGCTCATGCCTGTAATCCCAGCACTTTGGGGGGCCAAGGCAGGCAGATCATGAGGTCAGGAGATCGAGACCATCCTGGCTAACACAGTGAAACCCCGTCTCTACTAAAAATACAAAAAAAATTAGCCGAGCATGGTGGTGAGTGCCTGTAGTCCCAACTACTCGGGAGGCTGAGGCAGGAGAATGGCGTGAACCCAGGAGGCAGAGCTTGCAGTGAGCCCAGATCGTGCCACTGCACTCCAGCCTGGGAGACAGAGCAAGACTCCATCTCAAAAAAAAAAAAAAAAAAAAAAAAAAAAAGAGCAACCCAGCATCAGCAGGTCATCTTTGGGAAGCTCTTCATCAGGGGACACTGCTCTCCAGCTCTCCAATATAACGCAAACTTCCCCTCAACTACATCCGATGTGGAAGAAAGTTCCCCAAATTAACCAGCCTGCTCACTTCAGGGTGTTTATCTTACATTATGTTGAACAACCACTAACACTGTGGTCGTATATGTGTGCAAACCACTTTTTATGTAAAACACTCATTAAAATATTCAAATGTTCAAACAGGCTAACACCTCAAGAAAACATCTAACCACAACATGTGCTGTCTTAATAAGAATTAATTATTTTCCCAATCTATCACCTTCCATTTACCAATGCAGCAATTACCAAACAACAGTGTTAAAGGTCCCTTTACGCTAAAATATTACTGAGAAAAGAATTTGTAAGTGTATGATATCTAAGAGAAAAGTTTTTAAAAATTTATTAATGCATTAAAATAATCTATTGTCTATTAAAACATTTTATTTTAAAAATCTATATTTCTTAAAATGAAGAAAATTAGTGAAAAGAATATAATTTTAAAGAATATTTTTGAAAATCTCTTTAAATATCTGGCTTAATCCAGGAGAATAGAAGCTGAATTCCCATATTTCCTTCTACATTCAATCTGCTGCTATATGTTATTCTAGTTGAAGTATATGAGGAAAATCTATCCTTGCTCAGATGCATTATAGTTGGAAAAGTGAGGAGTATCTTAACAGCTTTCCAGATAATTGCAGACATCCTTTGATACTACAATATTCAACAAGTGGTAGTTTCTTGAAGCTTATTGGTGATGTCGAATCTACTGGTCTACCTTCAACTTGAATGAATCTTTTATCCATTGCGATAGTTAATTTTATGTGCCAATTTGTCTAGGCTACGGTGTTCAGTTGTTTGTTCAAACACCAGGCTAGACGTTGCTATGAAGGTATTTTTTTTAAGGCGTGACTAACATTTAGATCAGTAGATGGAGTGAAATGGTTCTGTTTTCATAATGTGGGCGAGGCTCATCCAATCAATTGAAGGCCTTAAGAGAAAAAGACTCAGGTCCCCCAAGAAAAAAGGAATTCCGTCTCCAGACTGCAACGTGGAAATGTGGAAATGCTGCCTGACTACCACCCTTGAGACTTAGGATTACAACACCAACTGCTGCCTGAATTTCCAGCCTGCAAGTCTGCCCTGCAGGCTTCAGACTTGCCAGCCTCCACCTAAATAAGCCAGTTCCTTAAAATAAATCTCTCTACATAAACACATACACACACACACACACACACACACACACACACACACACACAGGGAGAGAGAGAGAGAGAGATCCTATTTCTTCAGTTTCTCTGGAGAACACAAACTAATGTTCTCCATCAGTTTGGAGAACATTTGTGTTAGTGGAGAACACTAACACACCGATGCATGATTTTGTAACATCATGCACTGACCATTTGAAAAATATGAGGTCACTGAGTTACATAAATTTGCAAAATGTTTACACATTTCATTACACAATATTCTGAAAATCCTATTTGCTACTATCACATATCACCACCGATCTCATCAAAAGACTTTTGGTAGTGGTAGGCTGTAAAACTCACAATGAAGTCACAAGCTTGAACCAAAATCCAAATGTTTCCTTGAAAACTTGAATTTTAACATTAGAAATAAATACTATTAGGTATTTTCACTGAAGTACCAGGCTCATTCCTCATTTTGAAGAAAAATGCCTATTATGAACACCAAAGTATGAATAACCATAATTACTATGGTGTGAATGTCTCCCCAAATTCATGTGCTGAAAATATAATTTCCAATGCCACCGTGTAGAGAGGTGAGGTGTAACAAGAGATGTGTTGGTCATGAGGGTGGGGCCCTCATGAATGGATTAATGCTGCTATAAGCAGGGCTTGCAGCTGCGGGTTCTCTCTCTCTCCTGCTCTTCCTCATGTAAGGACACAACATTCTTTCTCACCGGAGGGCACAGTGTTCAATGCACCAAGGTAGAAGCAGAAAGACCAGGCCCTAATCTACCAGCACCTTGATCTTGGACTTCCCAGCCTGAAGAACTGTGATAGAATTAATTTCTGTTCTTTATAAATTACCCAGTCTGTGGTATTCTGTTATAGTAGAACAAAATGGACTAAGACAATAGTTTGTCAGCAAAATCTTTCTACCAAAAATGACGTTTTGTTAAAAGAAAAATAGTGGCCAGCGCAGCTTGCAATTCAAACAATCATTTAAGTGCTTTTCCTCATGACATTGTTCTTTGACGTGCAGCAGAAGTGCTTTATGCATATTGCCTGTTCCATCACATGGAATATTAAAAAGACATATACACAGGTGTTGGGATTTCTTTTAAAATTTTTTTTACTGCTTCATTGAGGATATTCTTAAGTGAAAATGGAATTTTTTTAAACCACAAATGTGAGCCAAAACATACAATGACCCCTGGTCATTTGTGCCACTGCTTTAATTCATGATAAAGGGCCAGTTGTTTTACCTACCATTGCTTGTGCACTGTCAGGGCAAATTATCCACACAGTAAAAATCACAAACATCTTTGTGTTACTATAAAAATAGTTTTTACCTCACAGAACCTCCCTAAAAGGATCTGGGGTACCCCCCCTGGATTTGTGGACCACAGTATAAGAACCACAGCACTGACTGGCTCTCTCCCAAACGCACATCCCAACAAGGATCAGAAGTCAAAATTCAAATTAGCAAATGCTGGGCATGATATGTCCCTGGCTCAGACTCCCCAGGGAAAAAGGATGGCCCCAGTGGTCATGATCTTAACACTGGAGTACATGCATCAGGGCCACACAAAGACTTTCCAGAACGAATCTGCCCAGAATCATGCTGCACTCTCAGAAGGAGTACAGTCCAGGAGCCATTTCTAGTTCTGTTTCCACCTTCTCTTTCACATTAGCCCTTACTTTTTCTCTTTTAAAAAATAGTACTTTTTACCCATACTGTTTGACAATAGTACACTGTCCTGAATGATAAATTCTCTCAGGGCACCCAGAAATGGTATAATTAGAAACACTGGTATTGGTGTTGCAAAAGAAAATGACTACATATACTGGAGAAAAATCATTTTGCAAGTGAGATGGTTTCTAACTGAATGCTTTCAACAAAATTGAAGCAGAATTTAATGGAGCCATTCACTGAAAGATCATTAAAAATGATATTTATGAAAGACCAATGAGTCATTTTTTGGCACATAATCCAAAAAAGTTCAAAGAATTAGGAGATTTTTGCTATAACAAGACTCTATTCTCATCTACCCCTATATATGAAAAGGTTTCTCATTATAAGTATATAAATGAAAAAGTGTGACAGCCATGATGGAACTCAGATTCACTCCAGCAATAAATAATAGTTAGCATTTAATACATAAGCTAATTTAAAAACTTATCCATCTCAGTGACATGCATTTCAATAACATTTTATTTTTCACTTTTAATAATTATGGGCATAAAAATAAAGCAAACAGTTACATTGTATTTATTATGGCCCAGGAACTATTCTAAGCACTTTATATATATGAACTGATTTAGACCTCGTAACATTTATATTAGCTTGGCATTTGTATTAGTCCATTCTCATGCTGCTATGAAGAAGTACCCAAGACTGGGTAATTTATAAAGAAAAGAGGTTTAATTGACTCAGAGTTCCACATGGCTGGGGAGGCCTCAGGAAACTTACAATCGTGGTGGAAGACACCTCTTCACAGGGTGGCAGGAGAGAGAATGAGTGCTGAACAAAGGGGAAAAAGCCTCTTATAAAACCATCAGATCTTGTGAAAACTCACTCACTATTATGAGAACAGCATGGGGGAAACCACACCCATAATTCATCACCTTCCATTGGGTCCTTCCCACAACATGTGGGGATTATGGGAACTATAATTCAAGATGAGATTTGGATTGGGACACAGCCAAACTCAGTATTATTATTATTATTATTATTATTATTATTATTATTATTATTATTTTAGAAACAGGGTCTCACTCTGTCACCCAGAATGGAGTCCAGTGGCAAGATTATAACTTCCTGCAGCCTCGAAATCCTAGGCTCAGACCAACCTCCTGCCTTAGCCTCCCCAGTAGCTAAGAGCACAGGTGCATACCACTACAACTGGCTAATTTTTAAAGATTGTTTTGTTGAGATAGAATATTGCTATGTTTCCCAGGCTGGTCTTGAACTGCTGGCTTCAAGGGATCCACCTGCCTCAGGTTCCCAAAGCTTTGAGATTACGGGTATGAGCCACTACACCCAGAGACTAGCATTATTTTGAACTTCCATTTTACAGATAAGGCAACGAAAAGTCTAGAGCAACTAGAGTTAGAGGTGAGATTTGAAACCATTTACTCAGGCTCCAGAGTATGTGCTTTTAACTACTACACTATGCTGTCTCAAAGATTAAAAAATAACATTAATACTGTTTTAATAAATTGTTTATTAAAAATATTCATAATTAATACAGAAGAAATTTTAATATTTAGAGCCTAAGGATATGGGAAATTTAAAAATCATACTAATTTATTTATAGATTTTTTTATTGCAAAGAAATATAATACAGTGACTAATGAAAACATAAAATTGTATAAAATTAAAATAAAATTCTACAAGCCAAATGGAATAAAAACGTTAGTTCAAAATGGAAAAAGAATAATATAAAATTCCAAGAGCTGGCCGGGCACAGGGGCTCACGCCTGTAATCCCAGCACTTTGGGAAGCCGAGGCAGGCAGATCACGAGGTCAGGAGATCGAGACCATCCTGGCTAACACAGTGAAACCCCGTCTCTACTAAAAATACAAAAACTTAGCCGGGTGTGGTGGCGGGCACCTGTAGTCTCAGCTACTTGGGAGGCTGAGGCAGGAGAATGGCGTGAACCTGGGAGGTGGAGCTTGCAGTGAGCCGAGATCGAGCCACTGCACTCCAGACTCCAGCCTGGGCAACAGAGCAAGACTCCGTCTCAAAAAACAAACAAACAAACAAACAAAAATTCCAAGAGATAAAAGACGAGCTTATTGATATATTTTTAAAATATAATGGTAGATAAATCACTTTTAGTATTTATATTCCATTTGACATATTTAAAACAAGGATCTAACAATTTTATATTAAATTATCAACATCAACAACATATGGGAAATTATACTCTTTGTAAATACTGAGCATTTACAACGAAAAATTTTAGGTGCCAATATAAATGTGAGAAGGCGTTCACGGGATTTCAAAATAAACTTACGGAGTAAGTGGACCAAAATGTTTAAAGAGCACTGCCCTGGACTATAAGAAAGAGCCCTCTTCTTAGCCTGAAGAATTTTCCTAGAACAGCTTGAAATCCACCCGGTCTAAATTGAGTGGTGCATGTGAAACTTGCCTGTAATGGCTCAGCCTCAGTTGCAACCTTATCATGGTTTGCTTACTAAGGCAGTGTTCCACTGAAAATGTAGCTTTCCTCCTAACTTAAAAAAAAGATCAGGTTTTATTAATGCACAGTTTCACAAACCTGTGTTCCAAAGTAAAAACTAATCATTAGCTTAACAATTTAGTTTAACAAATTAGTTTAGAAAATTCTAAGGGTTTGAAGAGAGTTAGCAGTTGTATTATTTAGTTTAAATGCCTCATATTAGATATGAGGTCATACTATTCCAAAACAGTCACTTGCAACTTGATAGAGTCATAATCATTTAGTAATTATTAAGGGAATTTCAAAGTTTTGTCATATTGGGAATTATAATTCCTTCCACAAATGAAAAGACATGCACATCATTATAACTAATTATTACAAGTGATTATTATAATAATTACTCTTCAATTAAGAAACTTGTACTTTGAACTTGCATGTGATTTATGATTAAGTGATGACAGATACTTACCAGAAAGAAAAATTCTACAATACAATGCAGATCACATGCAATAAATGAAACCACTCAAAATAAACACTGTTTTCCTAGGTACAATCCATCAGTTAAAATGTCAAAATAAGTAAAGGGAGGTAATATTTATGCTAATGGCGAAGTATCTTGTATTGAACCAACACACTCACCAAAACAAACAAACAAACAAAAAATCCCACCATTTAAAACTCTGTACACAAGATTGAAAATAAGTGCTTCAAGGTACTGGAGAGTGATCAAAAGCAGGCAGAAACCAGAAGGGAACCAATACTTTGAAGATGGGAACAGTATGAAAAGTTTCCTGTTTTTTGTGGCTTTTCATCTGAGGGGAAGGGACAGCTGGCACCACTGTGCAGGGCAGCTAAGATTCTAATAGAAACTCCTATTTTTATTAGTTTGAAAAATTTAAAGACAGAATCCAGAGCAGCCTTGATAACTGTAAAGCGAAGAGGAAATCCTGTAAAGAAGAGAGTCACAGAAGACTGTCCCCAATTCTGCATAATCTCTGCTCAAATATCTGGCCGACTTCTGGCCTACATGTGTGAAGCAGAACTCCAAATAGCCCTGGTAAGGCTGTAAGATCTCAACAGGGATTTCAGATGCCATCCCATTGCAGGAGATACAGTTGGGAAGTTCAAGTTCAGCCAAATTAACTGACTACTAAAACAAACACAATCAATTATATTGAGAGGAATATAAAATAATTAAGAATCTCTATCACACCTGTAATTCCAGCACTTTGGGAGGCTGAGGTGGGTGGATCATGAGGTGAGGAGATCGAGACCATCCTGGCTAACACGGTGAAACCCCGTCTCTACTAAAAATACAAAAAATTAGCCACGAGTGGTGACGGGTGCCTGTAGTCCCAGATACTTGGGAGGCTGAGGCAGGAGAATGGCATAAACCCAGGAGGCGGAGCTTGCAGTGAGCTGAGATCGCGCCACTGCACTCCAGCCTGGGTGACAGAGCGAGACTCCATCTCAAAAAAAAAAAAAAAAAAAGTTCACTGAGTGGACTTAGCATATTAGTCAGTAAACCTGTAGATAAATAAAAAGAAATGATACGATCTGAAGAAATAATAAACAAGCCACATTTTTGCTTCGAGACTGGAATGCAGCTTACAATTGTAATTGTCAGTGTTTTCTCTCTCTCTTTTTTGTGGTAAATAAAATAATAGTGCATTTGAAAATTGGTGGCATTGTAGAATTAACAAAATACAGAAGTTCATATTCTATTTCAGATAATCTCTATTTATAAAGTCTGTGGGTCTAATTTTGGCATCTGGTTTTTATCTTTAAGCTTTCTCATGGTGTTTTGTTCACTCGTGCATTTTTAAATTATAGCACTGAGCTCTTATTTCTTGGAATTTCTTCTTTGTGAATACTTGGATGCCTGGGTTGCATTATATGATTTGCTCCATTTGCCTGGGAATAGTACAAAACCCAGGAGTATGTTAAATTTCCACTTGAAGTTTTTTTGGAAAATACGGTGGTATGAATTCAAGGTATAAAACCTTATGCTGGCTGGTTTGTGATTATACATCCTCAAGGGAACTCTTTCCCCTGCATAGCCAATGTCAATGCTTAGGTCAGTGAAATTTCCTTATGGTGACCTCACAGCGAGGGTGTAACCCTTGAGAATCACAGCTTTATGCAGTGAGACAGGATGTCTCTCATTGACTCTCCCTCTTGGGTGGTCACTGGGCTTTTTTCTTCTATTCTGCAATGCCTGCAAGGCCACGGACTTTTTAGAAAGCTCAACTACGACCTTACTTAATGAATGCTTTCATAGTCCTTTTACCTTTTCAATGTCCCGCTTTCACCTGATTTTTGGTTTCTGAGAACTACTTAGCTCATCAGTATACTCACAAAGTGGATTTTAGAAAATATTTTATCTGGCAGTTTTTATTGCTTTTCCATAGGAGGATCTAGCTGCAGTATTGCCAGAACAAGAAATTCACCTCTATCTGTTCCTGTGTCTAACTAGGATATCATGTGAACTGAATGAGCCTTACGTTTTCTTTATTGACAGCTTAGTGAGTGACTTTTGAACCAGGGTTGCATGTCTTAAGGAACAACCCCATCTTGAGGACTCAGTAACTTAAAAATGGATCTGCTGGTGCTCTCTCGACCATGAATTCTGAGGTGGCAGAACAGAGGCCAAGGTTTTGTTAGGTCATAATGCTATCATGTTTGAACTCCATTCATGTGTCGTGCTAGGAAAGGAGTGGTATTATCCCAGTCTTCCAGCTTAAACATTTCACAACACTAAATCCATACTCTTTCTCCTTGTGTCTTACAATTCTCCAAGCTAGATCCCTGAGCATATTCCATAATCAGTGGGAAAGGGAGCTGAGCACATCTGCACAGCCTCCTGTTTCGGTGAGTTTCTCCCAATAAATATGGTGCCAGATGGCCCAGTGTGTTTGCTCTTAGGAATTTCACATCTTCTCACTCTATAATGTCTAGAAGATCTGTAAATATGCATAAGAAGGAAAGTAATATAAAAAAGACCAATAAGATTTGAATATAAACAAAAAGTACCTCTAGAAATAAAAAGCATAACTGAAATATTAAATTCTATGGACAGGTTTATGAACACAACAAATCAAAATGATAAAAGAATTAACAAAGTGAAATTAGACTTAATTAAATTATGGAGAATATAATATAAATGGACAAAAAGATAGAAATATGAAACTAGAGTTAATAGAAATGGGGGAGAGTAAGAAAATTTAACATGCTTCAATACGAGATCAAGAGAAAAAGATAAACAATGAATAGAGGCAGTATTAAAACAGACAATGGCCACAAGTTTTCCAGATTGGCAAGAAGCCCATTCCACAGGTTCAGGATTCCTAACATATCCCAAGCAGGATAAATAAAAATATATCCACATGTCAACTACCAACATGAAAATGCAGATGATCAAAGACAAAAGATCTTAAAAGTAGTCAAAGAGAAAACCCTGATTATATACAAAAAAAGTGGCAGAGTGGTGACCTACTGAAGCCAAGAATGGAAGCTAGAAGACAGAACACTGGCTTCAATGAGCTGAGAAAAAAATAACTGTCAAATCAGAAATACATCCCTAAAAAAATCTTCCAAAAATTAAATTGAAATAATGATATTTTAAATATACAAAACTAAAGGGGTATATCACTGTCTTACACCTACTTCAGGAAATTTTGGAAATATTTTTTAGTAGAAAGTGCTTATTAAGAGGTATGTGTATGCATGTGTGTGTGTTGAGAGAGAGAGATTTACAAAAACAAGATGGGAATAAACTACTTGATAATAATAGGATATATGTCATGAGAGATCTACTGTATTTACTGACACATTGAATAACTTTCCACTTTGTTTATAAGAGTCAGACCTGAAAGATAAAAGTTTGAAAAGGGAGTAAGTTTGAAAAGATAGAAAAATGTATCAGCCAAACACTAACCCAAAGAAATCTAGCATAGTTATAACAAATTAGCTATTTTACACACAATAAACTCTAATACAAAGACTAGAGAAAAGGTTCTAATCACCAAAAAGATATTATATTTCTAAATTTGTTTACTCCCAATAGCACCGCCTGAAAATATATATATAAAGCAAAAGTGACAGAATTCCAAGGAGAAATAAACAAATCTACATTAATGAAAAAATTTTAACACACTCCTTTCAGCAACTGAGAGATCAAAAAGATCAATAACAACATAAAAGATTTAAATAACACCATTAACCAGCTTGTTCTTATACACCAGCACTTTTTAAAAATTTTGGTTTCAGAGCCCCTTTACATCCTGAAAAACTATTGACAACCCTAAAAAGCTTTTATGTATATAGGTTATTTCTGTTGATATCTACCATATAAGAAATTAAAACATAATTTAAGGAAATATTTCTTTAATAATAATTTTTAAATAATGATAAGCTTATTTCACATTAACATAAATTTTATAAAATATATTTTCTAAAACAAAAAAAAATCAGTGATAAAGGGGTTTTGTTTTTCAGTTCTGGAAATCTCCTTAACATCTGGCTTAATAGATGCCTATTGTATCCTTCTACTATCTGCTTCTATATTCATTTTGTTTCAATATCACGTCATGTAGCTTCTAGAAAACTCCATTGTGCATTCATGAAAGAATGAGAAAAAGGCAAATAATATCTTAGTATTGCTATAAGAATAATTTTGACCTCATGGACCCCTTGAAAGGGTCTTGGGGAACCTTCAGGGTCCCTAGATGATATATTGACAACTGCTAGTGTATAATGTGCAGGAATTTGCACCTACAATGCAGAAAATACATGAAACTTTTATAAATGTTGATCATCCACAAAAGAGCGGTGGTGATCTGTTGAGTTTTATGGCCCAGTTGGGTTTGATGACATATTGGGCCATAAAATAAGTCTAAACACATGTTAAAGATTTATATGTTAAAAGCCGTACTCTGTGATGACAATGAAATTACTTGGTAACCAATAATATAATCTCTTAAAGACCAGGTAATGACAAAGCTGCCTTCTTTCACTGCTTCTGTTCACTAATTGTAGGTCTAAGATGGAACCATAGGCAAAAATATAAGCAAAAATTATAAAGGTTAAAAAGAAAGAAGTAGTTTAAAGATGGTATGATTGTATATGTCGATGATCTAAAAGATTCTATTCATGAACTGTTAGAACTAGAAAGTTTAGGCCGGGCGCAGTGGCTCATTCCTGTAATCCCAGCACTTTGGGAGGCCAAGGTGGGCAGAACACCTGAGGTCAGGAGTTCAAGACCAGCCTGGCCAACATGGAGAAACCCCATCTCTACTACAAATACAAAAAAACAGCAGGGTGTGGTGGCACGCGCCTATAGTCCCAGCTATTTGGGAGGCTGAAGCAGAAGAATTACTTGAACCCGGGAGGCAGAGGTTGCAGTGAGCTGAGATCGCACCATTGCATTTCAGCCTGAGCAACAGAGCAAGACTCTGTCTCAAAAAAAAAAAAAAAGGAAGAAAGAAAGAAAAAAGAAAAGAACTAGAAAGTTTAGCAATGTTGCTAAATAAAAAAATTAAGACACAAAAATCAATTTTATTTCTATACACTAGCATTAAAAGGTTAAAAAATGTAAATTATAAAGAGTACCTTTTATAAGAGTTTCAAAAAATAAGGAGTCTAAGAAGATTTGAGCTTTACACAGAAAACTGTAGAACACGAAAAGACACTAAAGAAGCTCAATAGTCAGAAAAGTATATCCAGTTTCTTATCCATTATAAGAAAACTCAGTATTATTAATGTCAATTCTCCCAACATTGATCTATATAGTCTCAACATAATTCTAATAAAAACTTCTAAAATTTTAATAAAACAGCAAAGTTTCATAAAATAATGAAGACAACTATAAAGACCTACAAAGCAGTTATTATGACAGTTATTTAAATTGTTTTAAGGCTACAATAATTAAGACTAGGTAGTATTAGCATGGAAGACAGAGGAACACAAAAGAGAAACCAAGCCAGGAGCAGTGGCTCACACCTGTAATCCCAGCACTTTGGGAGGCCAAGGCAGGAAGATCTCTTGAGCACAGGAGTTAGAGACCAGCCTGGGCAACATAGTGAGACCCCATCTGTACTTTTCTTTTTTTTTTAATTAGTCAGATGTCTGTAATCCCAGCTACTTGGGAAGCTGAGGTAGATGGATCGCAGGAGCACAGGAGTTCAAGACTACAGTGAGCTAAGATGGAGCCACTACAAGCCAGGGAAACAAAGCAAGACCCTGTCTCTACTGTCTGTAAGGAAAAAACGAGAGAGAGAGAGAAGGAAACCAGAAACTGATATGTGTAAGTAGAAATTTAATCTGTGACAGTTTTGGCCCTGTAGATCAGTAGTAAAGAACTGGAGCTTCAGTGAATCATACTGAGACATTTGGTTATTCATATGGATAACAAGAAAGAAAAGATGGAAGGAAAAAAGTAAAGAAGGGGGACTCAGGTAAAGTGAAGACCTTAGACTTAAAAGTCAAAAGTATGTTTTCAGAAATGTTTAGAAAACAATATGAACATTTTCATGACCTCAAGATAGAGAAGACCAGAATATAGTGTGAATCTTGGAGGAACAGACTGACAAATTCTACTACATTAACGACCCTAAGAAAAATCAGCAAGAGACTTGAAAAGGCGCTTCGCAGGAAAAAAATCCCAAGTGGCCAATAATAATCATGTGACTATGTGATCAATCTCATTAGTAATTAGGGAAAAACAAATTACAACACAGTTAGAAAATATTTCATACACGACAAGTTTGAAAATGTTAAAGTCTGATATATCAGCGTTGGCAGGAGCCTGGAGCATCATGAACACGCAAACTCTGCTGAGTGTGGTATATATTGTTACAACCAGTTTGGGAGAAGAAATAGGGCCTAATTAATAATGATGAAGATACACATGCCCTATGACCTGAAAAATGTCATTTGTAAGAATACAACCTAAGGAAATCCATGTACATATATATGAGAAATGTAAAGAATGTTCACAAAAGCACTATTGACAGGAAAAAAGTAAAAACCCAAATTTCTTTCCATCACCACATTCTGGATGATAAGTGATACAGCCATTATCCAACTTACACAGCATTACATAGAGTATTACACAGCTGGGAAATGACTGGAATTTAGACGCCAGCAATAACAAAGATGGGTCTCAGAAACATAGTGTTGCATGAAAATAGCAAGTCACCAAATTACATATATTTTATGATTCATCTACATATATGTATCATATAGGAATACAAACGTGGTGAAACCATAAAGTAAGAGAAAAATAAACACAAAATTCACAATAATGTTACCTCTGAGGATACTGGGAAGAGAATGGGTTGGCAGAAGGACACCCAATACACAAGGATCTTTTAAACTTTACATACAGTTTTAAAAAATTCTCTATCTACTCAAAGCTTAACTTTTAAAGTAAAATAAATAGATTATACAAAAGTAAACCAACGAACATGAGCTAAAATGGCACGAAGTTCAAATGTTTTATTACAAATGATAACCAAAAATTCAGCGTAGTTTAGCTATATATCTGCCAAGTTCTTTTTTTTTTTTTTTTTTTTTTTTGAGATGGAGTCTCGCTCTGTTGCTCAGGCTGGAGTGCAGTGGCATGATTTCGGCTCACTGTAACCTCCTCATGGGTTCAAGCAATTCTCCTGCCTCAGCCTCCCGAATAGCTGGAATTACAGGCACCTGCCACCATGTCTGGCTAATTTTTGTTTTGTTTTTTTTTTAGTAGAGATGGGGGTTTCACCATGTTGGCCAGGCTGGTCTCGAACTTGTGACCTCATGTGATCCACCCACCTTGCCCTCCGAAAGTGCTAGGATTACAGGCATGAGCCACCACGCCTGGCCTGCCAAGATCTTTTTTTTTCTTTTTTGGGATGGAATTTCGCTTTTTGCCCAGGCTGGAGTGCAATGGCTCCATCTCAGCTCACTGCAACCTCAGCCTCCCAGGTTCAAGTGATTCTCCTGTGTCAGCCTCCCAAGTAGCTGGGATTATAGGCATGAGCTACCACACCCAGTCCTGCCAAGTACTTAATGTGGAAATTTCTCATTCTGAATTAGCAGATCATCATGTAATAAAGGCAGAATTGAAAGACTACTAGTGAATAATTGTGTTTATAAAACATGGCACCCAGATAAATGACAAAAGTCCTGTAAAATATATTATTTACTCCTGGTTCATAATTAATTACATGCTCTATGGAGACAAGATGCTCCAGTAATGAAGTTTTTGACATTTCAGGAAAAACGTTTATTTGATCTGCTATTTCACAATGGTCTATCATCTGCTACAACATTCAATCTTCTATAAATAAGATTTCACAGTCATCACTGGAGCGGACTTCCTGAGAAAAAACAATAACATTTAAGACATCTAATTGCTAAAACTCAATATTCAAATTCAACACTTTATTTTTTCTCTCTACTAATGCTACTGCAAAGAAGTACATTCTAATCCTAAAGACAGACTGCCTGCTGGAAGGAGAAGAATTCCGGCTTCTCCTAACTGTTTAAAGATCCAGGCCTTTATATACAGAGCCACCTAAGCCCAGGATTCCACAGCCTGACTGAGTTGGTTGCCAAGTATTTGGCCTGAGCAGAATTTAAAAACATACACCGTGTTCTGGTTCATCTAGCATTGCTCTGGGAAAAAACAATGCAGTCAGTCCCAGGGGACACCACCCTGCGCTGCTAGGCTACTGAGCCAGAGATGCACAGAATTAAGGAGGGGGGTGGGAAGCAGCCTGTCTCATGAAATCATTCTAGATTTCTGCCCTCGTTTCTGCCTGTGCAATGTCTCAAACCAGCTCACTAGCTGTATTTGATATCTTTCTTTACTCTAAGACAATAGCAATTAACATGAAAGCTGCTCTTTATAGACATCGGGGACATTTAAATACAATATTTACTCTGTTAGTTACAGAGATTCCAAGCCATCTCCCAATCTTAATATAACCCCAGAGAAGCTCTCCCTAGATTTTTAGTAAAGTCCTTTTCAATCTACGTCTGATTCTGTGAGCTCAAGAGGAAACAGGGCATGTAGCCAAGACAAGCATATAAACAGAGGTACAGACCGACTGCCTTTCTCCAGGAGGGCAACCAACCCTAGACTCTCTTCAGTTGTTTGGGAATTAGATCTGTCTTCTCTCCAATCTCATTATACCTTTATAATAACACCTGACACTATTGCATCCCTTACCCTTTAACAATCCAAAAATTCCATCCCTGGTTAAATGCTGGCCATACCAACATGGTGCTCTCCAGCCACTGAAAACAGACCAGAAAAAAATCAGAAGGCCAAGGCAATACCATCAATCTAGAGATTATCCTAAAGTTCCGAAGACTTACTTAGATTAAGAAATTAAATGTAAACATAAAAGATTATCCCTTCCAAATATCTACACGACTTTTAAGTAGCACTAGATGTAGTTAAGAGATAATGAATTATGTACACAGGAAAACAGGACAGCTAACAACCTTCTCCACAATCTTCCAGGATGCACTGCTGAGCACAGCAGGGGTATAACTCTGCTGCTCTGTCCTGATGAGGCTGAGAGCAACTTCAAATGCAATTATTAAATAAATAGCCCAAAATGTCAAAATGCAGCATAAAAACCATAACACACAATGTCTCAGCTTCTCTGTATTTGGTAAGATTCAATGTGTGATTTATTGAGTCTGTACTATAGCACTGTATGATCAAAGCAAAAAGAAAAAGACAAAGAAAGGCTCAGTATTGTGGTCCCAGACTGATTTTCTGAAATAGAGTCAAAGATTTTGCATACTGCAGGTACAGCTATGGATTACAGTGATGCAGGAGCCCCCAACTCACAGAGAGAAAGTGTGGGAACTTGGGGGACCAAAACCCTGAAATGTATTTATTTATTTATTTTTATTTTTATTTATTTATTTTTTTGAGACGGAGTCTTGCTCTGTTGCCCAGGCTGGAGTGCAGTGGCGCTATCTTGGCTCACTGCAAGCTCCGCCTCCTGGGTTCACACCATTCTCCTGCCTCAGCCTCTCAAGTAGCTGGGACTACAGGCACCCACCACCACGCCTGGCTAATTTTTTGTATTTTCAGTAGAGACGGGTTTTCACTGTGTTAACCAGGATGGTCTCAATCTCCTGACCTCGTGATCTGCCCGCCTCAGCCTCCCAAAGTGCTGGAATTACAGGCGTGAGCCACCGTGCCTGGCCCTGAAATTTATTTTGAATGTCAAATATTAAGAGGATTTATTGTTTTCCTTCCCATTCACAGGCACTCAATTCTGCAGTTGTTGCAAAAGGATAATGAATTTGTAGCAGTTTTTTGTTTTGTTTTGTTTTGTTTTCAAGACAGGGTCTCACTATTGACCAGGCTAGAGTGCACTGCCACAATCATAGCTCACTGCAGCCTTGAACTCCTGAGCTCAGCTATCCTCCCACCTCAGCTTCCCGAGTAGCTGGGACTACAAGTGTGCACCACTGTGCCCAGCTAATTTAAGAATTAGGAGTTTAAAGCGAAGCAACGACTGGCCACACAACATTAAGTATCTTCTGCGCGCCCAATAGCAGTAGAAACCCCTTTCGAAAAAGTAGGAGCTTTATTGTGATGCACAGCAATATTACAACTTTTGGCGGAGATTACAGTTTGCAAAATAAATGACATAATGTAGTATCTTAAGCATCAGGCTCCGTTGTTAAAGCCAGCACCCTAATCCTCTGTGACAGGGAGTGAGGATCCATGGGGCAGAAGGGAGCGGAGCCAGATGCTGGGAGATCTCAGAGTTGGAAGGAAACAGCTGACAGCAGAGTACATCCTGTCAGTCCAGAGGCTCAGGAGCTGTGATCTGAATTCAGAACGTGGGGAGGAGGAGGCCACGCAAACCAGCTTCTCTCTCTGGAGCCTCCTGGACAGTCATGGCCAAGGAAACGCCAATGGCAGCTAAAGCAAACTGCCCACATGTGGGAAGCCAGGGAGTGCAGGGTTGTACAAGCTCGAACAGACCTTAAAAATCACCCAACTTGCTCATTTCACAAGTCAGGGAAAGGAATGACTACCCAGAAGCTTATCCTTAGGACACAGACCCCACGTCTCTAACCTAAGTCCTCTATCCCTCGTCACACAAAGCAGATGAGCAGCATTTGGTAGAAACGCTGACTCTCAGACCTGCCTCATGACCGCTGAACCAGGAATTATTTTGAAACAACATCCCCAGAAAATTCCCAAAAACGTGAAGGCTTAAAAAGCACTGCTCTGGCAAGGCGCAGTGGCTTACGCCTGTAATCTCAGCACTTTGGGAGGCCAAGGGAGGTGGATCACGAGGTCAGGAGTTTGAGACCAGCCTGGCCAACATAATGAAACCGCCGTCCTACAAAAAAAAAAAAAAATTACCTGGGTGTGGGGGCTGGTGCCTGTAACCCCAGCTACTAGGGAGGCTGAGGCAGGAGAATCACTTGAACCCAGGAGGCAGGGGTTGCAGTGAACTGAGATCACACCACTGCACTCCATCCCTGGTGACAGTGCAAGACTCCATCTCCAAAAAAAAAAAAAAAAAAAGCACTGCTCTAAACCACAGGTTAACTCTTCCAATCCAGCAAAGCACAGACTCTGGAGACAAACTCCCAAGTTCAAATCTCGACCCCTTTACTTCCCAACTGTGTGACCTAGGCAAATGCCTTAAACTCTCCGTCTCTCAGCTTCCCTCTGTAAAATCATCACAATAACCTATCTTATAGGGTTCTTGTGAGCGTTCTCAATAATTTGTCACTATTGTTCAAATTATGTTGGAATATCTGCTAACTCCACTGTCTCCCTACTAGATTGGGAGCTCCTTGGAGGCAGAGAATTTCCTGTGTATTCTGGATCTCTCCAGTTTGTGCTCCAGATGCAGTCTCCACTCTGCTTCTCATCAGAAGGCCAGCCGTGTGGTCACATCAATAAACTTCCCTACCTTCTGCTTTCTAGTTTCATGCACGAGGGGGAACCTGGCCCAAGAGCAGAGGACAGGAGGAAGAGAATTCAGGGTGTTTCTCACCCAGACTCCCTCACTGCTAGGTCACCTCAGGCTGACTGGTGACTTTATCCCTTCACAAGGGCATCTGGACCAAAGGTTCCCATCACAATGACTTCTGCAGGACTCTTGCTTCCCAGGTTATGGGTGATAACAGTTCCTCTGCTGTGACTTCCATGGGGTTACGGCCTCACTGGTGTAAACAGTCCCTTTGTAGATAATCCCCCTCCAATGATCCTAATTTGAATGTGCCATCTCTTTCCTCTTGTGGGTCACTATGTCTCCTTCCATTCACCCAAGAAGTATTTTATGCACGTGTACTATGTGCCAGATACTATTCTAGGTGCTGAGGACACGAAAGTAAAATAAAAAGGACAAGATCCCTGCACTCTTGGAATTCATCTTCAGACTTAACACTGTGTGTGGTACAGAGCAGATGCCCTTCTAAAGGGATAAATATAATTTCCTCTTCTCATTAAAACTTTTCCTCAACCCTGAATCAGAAGTGCTTACTATGGGGTTCAGCAAGAGCCTGCTGATTACATATAGCGGACATGCCAACGAGAACAAGGGATGGGGGGAAGTAAGCCACACAAGTGACTCTGAGCCTTTGCAGAAGGGTGCAGTTGAAACAAGCAGCATATAGATGTGGATCCAAATCTACTCATTTTCATTTAACAAACTCAAGGACTCTGAAAATATTTTACCTGACAAAGTGAGATTTAAAAAATAAACACAGGAAGGTGAGCTTTGTGGCTTTTCTGACAGATCAAACCACTGCGTGCAGCCTAATTCCCACCAGCTGCCAAAGAACTACACCACAGGTGAATATTCATGCTTGTGCTTTTTTAAAAGATGAATTTCCTGGAAAACAGCCACATTTCTTAGGAGGCAAACAGGTTAAGCTAAATGTCTTATTAGGAATATGTGTCACTTAAAATTCTGAGTTTGGGCTTTGCAAGGTCATCTTTCCACACCTGCTTGAAAGTTTCATCAAAATAATACCCATGCCTAGAGACCAGGAGATGCTATTGATTCTTCTCTCCCGCTTTTCCTTCTCCAAAAGTCAGATTTACTGCAAGCAAGCAGAGAATCTACATTTAGAACCATCCCTGAGAAGGATCACCGGATGACAGCATTGTCATCTGCAGCGAGGATGGTGGCTACGAGCACTAAGACAATTTAATTATTTCCTGAGGCCAACAAAGATTTCACCTGCTCTTTCTTCAGCTGTTCCTAATTAGAATAAAAGCCAGGAAACCCAGTAATAATAACAGCTGTTAGCTTCCAAAGTCTTCACTCTCAACATAGTACTAATTCAGCTAGGGTATAAAACGGGAAGGAATCAGAATGGGAAATGCCATTCAGTATTTGTTCAAAAGGCCCTCACATTGTTGGTATTTTTGTTAGTGTTTGTTAATATGAAGCAGGAACTTTTTTAAATCCCTGTTTTATGCAAGTCACAGCAGGTTCCCTTGCAAGGATCATTCCATTAACAAGAAATTGAACAGGAGTGGGTACTACATATTCTTGAGGAACATCATGAATTGGAACTTGGAGGAAGGCATGCAGTCAAATGAACAAAAAACCAAAAATCTATTTTCTGCAGTTTTCTGTCAGTGAACTCGTTTTTACTAAAAGAGAATTTAATTCAGCAAATAAATGGGCTGATAATAATCTAAAAGTCTAGCAAAGTGGATTTTATTTGGTTTATTTATTTATATAAAAAGGCTGGAGTGCAGTGGTGCAATCTAGGCTCACTGCAACCTCCGCCTCCTGGATTCAAGTGATTCTCCTACCTCAGCCTCCAGAGGAGCTGGGATTACAGATGTCTGCCACCATGCCCGGCTAATTTCTGTATCTTTAGTAGAGACGGCGTTTCATCATATTGGCCAGGCTGATCTCAAACTCTGTTCTCAAGTGATTCACCTGCCTTGGCCTCCCACAGTGCTGGAATTATATGCCCACAATGCACGGCCGCAAATTGGATTTTAAACAACGTAACAGCAAAGCAGTAGAGAGTAAACTTGAAGCTCTTAGAAGAAAAGAAACTGTTCAGGAACTGTCTGCTCCTTTTTATCCCATTTATGCTTGAGGTTGCAATTTTTTGAATTTTTGCAATCAGACCTTGGCAATGACCATGAGCAGTAGGATATAAATAACTCGATAAGCAAGTAGATCAATATATAAAAAAATTTACACTTTGGATCCATTTAAATACAAAAAAAGGAAATGAAATGCTGCGATACAGCTATCCAAATGTACACAGATTTTTCCAGTTATTGTAGCTACCACTTTTTATTACACACTTAAAAGATTTTTGGCAGCAACTGACCTAATTCTTCCAAGCCAGAATATGAATTCCCATATGGTTCTGTATTCTTTCCATTACTATACAGTTTTTCTTGGCTACTGTTTTCTTCTGCTCATTCCTTTTTCTCTCCTATAATATTCAAGCAACTTTACTCCCATTCCTATAAACAAAGATATGTATTATGATTATTTCTTTTGATCAGAATATTCTTTTCCTGAAATTAGTCAATTAAATATTTATTCCATATAAATTATGTAAAATACACAGTATTAAGCATTGTTGTAACTTTTTTTTAAAAGACCCTAGAAAGACTTCAAAATCTTTTTGAAAAGGGCACACATAATAAAGGTTACCAATACATGGTAGCAAATGATAATTGCAAAATCAGTAAAGCAATACTAAATTCACTGGGCCACAGGATAAGGCGATACCAGACTAGACTGGTGCTCAGGAAAGAGTACTCAAAGGACTGACTTTACACAGGAAGAAGTTACTGAGTGAGTGGAAAAGGTGAAAGTACAGAGGTAGATGACAAGAAAGGAAAAACCATGGCAACCAGAAACACAATGTATATTTCAGTGGGAGTGAGCAGAGACATTTGGCTACAGTAAGCCCTTCCAGTAGGAAAGTATTGGGAGATGAGGATAATCAGATGGGCTGGAAGCCAATCAGCTTATGAACACCAAGAGAAAGACACCATAAAAGCATGGTTCAGAGATTGCCTTAAAGGCCAGAGAAATCCCATTGTAGACCTGGTCCCGCTATGTACTAGCCTGGATTTCCATATCCACAAAATGTTAATAACAGCACTGATCTCAAAAGAGACTCTTTATGTATTAAACTGCAAAACATTTATCATAGTGATTAGCATATAGTACGGGATTTAAAAAAAATTACAGTCTGCCCTATTATTAGCCATGCTGAGGGGTCTGGGTGTCCTTGTGGCATCATTAAAGGGCTCTTGGTGCAGAGTGACATAACAAATCACTCTTCTGGCAAACAACGCCCATCACCCTGTCCAGAGGGAGGAGGCCACTCCCCACATCCCCTTTATGCAGGCTTCTCATGCCATTTAAAGTCAGTCCAACAACACAGATTGGAACTGGTCTCTTATCCACATAATTTCATTATGCTCGAGGGCCTCCAGGATAAAGCCTCTCACCTCTATACTCAGCTGTAGGTTTCCAACAATGTTCCAGTACCTTCTCCTATATATACTGAGCTTCCCAGTACAGTGAACGTGGACTTGGCTCAAGAAAGACCTGGATTCAAATAGTGACTGCATGTGTTACTTTTGACAAGTTCTTTTCTCTGAACTCAATTTTCTCCCATGCAAAATATGGAACATGAGATGTCAAGCCCTGGGCATTACCTGCTTTAATCATCATAACAATCCTATGAGAGAGATGTTACATTAGTCTCATTTTGCCCATAAGGAAACTGAGGTCTAGAAAGGTTGAGTAACTTGCTGAGTCACAGATGGTGTGGGTGGCGGAAGTAGGCAGTCTGGCTCCACAGAGCCTCCTTCACGTCCTCCTTTCTCACCTTCTCAGAATCCTGAGGGGGTAACTGCGTGGGTCAGACCCAGGCCTAGGGCCTACCTGATGTGACTTAATCACCTATGAGAATGCCCTTGGTTAACATAAAAGCCATAATGAAGGGAAATCCTTAACATCCTCTAAAAAGTTGTTCACTTATTATCACATTATTTTTATGCCTAACACCAAAGAGCTGACAGCCATTTTAGTGACATAGGGAGGCTATACAAGTCAGGCTAAAGTGCCAGCTGTTCACCACACTCTTATCTCCAATATTCCTTCTAGAATTAACAGCTTTTGATAAAAATTTCCATCTTCTGAACACATTCTGCCTTGTCACTCTCCTAGCTGCAACCTGACAAAATTTGCAGTCAGGTTGGCTTTATGCCTCAGTGTGAGCTTGAATCTCTTATGAGCTACTTCTCTATTCACTCATCAGTCTTTCTCTCCATTTCTGTGCCATCAATAATTTTTCTGAACTCAACACATCATGCTCTTTTCTTCACCTGTTTCAATATCGCTCTGCTCATTTTATTGTTTTACTTGCTAAGCTTCCCATGTCTTTGCTTTGACAATGCAAGGCCATTATTTTTTCATTGCAGTTTCCACAACATATTAATGCACTTGAAGTTGTTTATCTGTTTTTCTTTGAAGACCTACATCCAAGACTTTACTGGGGAAAATGTCTTGCTTCTGATATTACTGCTTAGGTCTTTGTGCCTTTTCATAATGCAATACTCCCCATTCTCTTTTACTTTGCCCAGGTACAGAATGTGTCCTAAAATAGATGTTGGCACACTGCTTTCCCACTGAGCAGACAAAAGGTATCTACTTAAACTATGATTCTCTTTTTCCTAATTCAATACTGCCTTTTGTCTTCTTACATTTCCACATGTCTCTTAATTTCCAGGAAAGTACAAATTATTCACAGGGATAATTTATTTCTCCTGAAATACCCTGCTGAGTTTGCCTGTCTCTAATAAAGGTCACACGCATTTACTAACCTGAAGAATAACTGGTATGCTCTGATTTTTTCAAGTGGGTTCTAGGAGACACAAGAACTCCTAATATGGATGAACTCCTGACCCTTCCCGGATACCAGTCCTTCTCCCTGCATGTCCCACCATTTGGCATGCTCTGCCTTTGGGCTGCTGCAGTAAGCAGGTGGATAACCTGTGTCCATAAGCCAGACGATCATAAGTTATTTTGACAGTTCTACAAACCAAACGGAGGATGCCTATATATAGACACAGATAGATCCACATATAGAATCATATTTTTAAAATACCTGAGCAAAATACTTTAAGAATATACCACATTTCTCATGCCTTTCCTATTGGGCTGCCACACTAGCGATTTTTCAAAAAGCTCATTTAAAATAATAACTTAATTTTGCTTTAATTTCAGTAGTTGGTTATTTAGAGTTTTTATTTTCTTCTTTTCCTTTTTGGAACAGAAGCTGTTACGGTAAATATTTCCAGGAGGCATGACTCCTTCGGCTTCAAGACCATCTATTGCCACTTTTAACTGATTAAAGTGATTGCCTGGGACTGCTGGATCTATTCCAACTCTGTATAAATATAGTCAGAACATAACGTGCTGAATCTGTGTGTGTGAACTCTGCTTCTCACTAGTATCTGGCTTCTGTTACAAGCGTTAGCTTCTTCTACACTAGTTAAAAATATCTAACCATTAAACAACTAAGCATATGCCAACCGTGTTCACATTCAACCGCAGAACTAAGCTGAACCTGGATTAGGTGAGCAGAGGTAAAGCACATGATAGAAGAAAACAGCAACACACATTCAGCATATAGACCTGCATGAAGACACAGAGTCCTCTGCATTCTTTAAGTAGGTGCTATCCTTAAACTGATCACTTTTTAAAGTTATTAGATTTCCCATCAAAACAAGCTTTCTGCTTGCACAGGAAAAACAGAGTGAATTAAGACTCAGGAGCCATGCTGCAGGGGCCTGATTTCCAGGTTCTCCATTATTAGCTGCATTTTTGCAGGGCAAATTACTTATCCTCCCCATGGCTCCCTTACTGAAGTTGCAAAATGCAGATAAGAATGGCACCAAGCACATAGAGTCGTTATAAGGATTAAGTGAGTTAATTTACATAAAGTGTTGAAAAGAGTAGGCAAATATAGTAGTCACTCAATAAATGTCAGCTGTATTACTAATTATGCTCAATATATTCTGCAGAATTATTTATTGGAATCCAGGATTATATACAGTAAAACTATTACCTCATTATGTAATAGGTGTTTAATAAATTCTTGTGAAAGTATACTCACTGAAGCAGGGCCATTTCATAAAATACTCTAGCATCAATGTTGACAGGCACGGAAGGAAGACTGCATTTTTAACTTGAGTTCAAAGCCTCACAATGTACATTGGGTATTGCTAAGAGTCACTGTTGGTGCAGATGCAGCTTCCGGACCAAGTAGGAGGTTGGGAGGGCCACATCCACCTACCTCCAGCTAAGCATCAACCGTGTAGCAGGTGTTGCCGTAGGTGAAAACAATGTACGAACAAAAAAGACAAATCTCTGAGTCAGCCTTGCATAATTTGGGGCTTGGGAAAAGTAGTTCTCTCTGGGTTACTTCGGATTTGTAGAGTCTCCTCGGGTCTATTACAGACTGTAGGTTGAGGAGATTAAGACAAGATGACACCTGAGGATTCCTGTGGGTACATTTTCTTCCTGGCCACATAGATCGTCCAGTCCATTCTCTCTGGGGAAATCAACTGTATGACCAGATTAACTAAGGGTGAAGCATAATTTACATGAGATCGTTATGGGCTCAGAAAGCAGCCAATATACAGAAAGCCCAGGGCAGGCATTGCCCCTGAGGAGACAGCAAAGGCAATGGGACCAAAGGCTATGTTAAGGTAGACTTGAGCTCCACCCGTAGTTTCACTCCTTAGGTAAAGCCAAAAAAAAAAAAAAAAAAAGGACCGGAAAAAGTATGACTCAATAGGAATATGGATGTTTATCACATTATTTTTTCATACTCCCCTGAATAACTTAAATTTATTCAGAACAAAAAAAGGAGAAATAAAGAAAAGTAACCTTTTCCTTACTTAAATTCTCTCTCTCTCTCTTTTTTTTAAGACAGAGTCTTATTTGGTCGCCCAGGCTGGAGTGCAGTGGCGCGATCTGGGCTCACTGCAACCTCCGTCTCCCAGGTTCAAGTGATTCTCCTGCCTCAGCCTCCTGAGTAGGGGGGATTACAGGTGCCCACCACCACGCCCGGCTAATTTTTGTATTTTTAGTAGAGACAGGGTTTTGCCATGTTGGCCAGGCTGGTCTTAAACTCCTGACCTTGTGATCCGCCCACCTCGGCCTCCCAAAGTGCTGGGATTACAGGCGTAAGCCACCAGGCCCGGCCTAAATTCTCTCTCTTAAAAAACAAAAATAAAAAGCTAGTGACTCACTAGTGCGCCACCATGACTACGTGCAACACTGTGCTGGCATGCCCACAGCAAAAGCTTGCACAGAGATGCATTAACTTTGAAATGTCCACAAAGTGATACTTAACCAGATACACACATAACACACACAATCCATGTCTCAGAAATGCCACACGTAAAGCAGTTCCACGAAGAGCAGCACAACCATCCAACGTAACATTCAGCAGACAGAATAATCAGGAGCCCAGGATTGCCTCTATCCCGCAACAGCTAGTTCACTGCTGCGTCAGAGAGCTTTTCAAAAATTGTATTTAAAGACTGCTTACAGATGAAATGTGACACGTCGCACCCGACATTTCACTTTAAGGTGAAGAATGACTTTCTGAAAAGTGCTGAGCCGGGTGCTCTGAACAGAGACATCCTATTTCTCTCCAACACGATGATGCCATGGCTCAGAGCCAGGCAGAGCAGCAGCACCCAACATGCAAAACAGGGGTGGCCGGGCATGGTGGCTCACGCCTGTAATCCCAGCACTTTGGGAAGCTGAGGCGGGCGGATCACTTGAGGTCCGGAATTCAAGACCAGCCTGACCAACGTGGAGAAACCCCGTCTCTACTAAAAATACGAAATTAGCTGGGCCTGGTGGCGCATGCCTGTAATCCCAGCTACTTGGTAGGCTGAGGAGAATCACTTGAACCTGGGAGGCGGGGGTTGCGGTGAGCCCAGATCGCGCCATTGCACTCCAGCCTGGGCAACAAGAGTGAAACTCCGTCAAAAAAATAAAAAATAAAAATAAAAAAAGGGCGGCGGGAGGGGGGAAGCCACTCAGGGAAAAGGGGAAACAGATTCCTGCTCCCAGGAGACTTCTGCCTTTCTCAACAGTTCTTTCTAGAAGTTGCTCCTAAATGTCTCCAGAAAACACCATAAGGGCTTGACCTCTACAGCCTGGGGCAGCCTAGATGGTGGAATCAGATGGATGTGGGTTCACATCCTGGGTCTTCCACTCTCCAGCTGTGTCCTGCTGAGCGAATGATATGAGCTCCCGGAGCCTTGCTTTCCACATGTAGGAAGACCTACTTCCCAAGGGCGTGGTGACAGTTAATGAGCTGCACGCTGTTTACCTCCTGGCTTACAATAGGCATTCCACAGGGACTCCCTTTTCCTTTCCAATGGGAAAGAGATCATGAATAATGAAGCCAATCTTGCAAGACACTGAAAAGTAGCACCACAGATTTACTGAACAGGCAACTTATTATCCACTCCCTTTCTTCTCCAACTGTAGAAGACTGACTATCTTCAGATTAGGGTACAACAGTAAGTGCCAATTGGGTGCTTGTGTTGTACTGGGCCCCATGCTAGAGTCTTCACATATGTCACATCATTTACAATAATTATTACTAATTATTCTTATTTTATAGACCTGGAAATCAGTTAATTCAACTTTTTACTGCTACTAAATGAAAAATCTTGGACTTAAACCCATTTTATGTGACTCCAGAATCCATGTACCTAATCCCTGAGCACGCCACAGCTTCCTTATTGTTAAATGTAAACAAGGAAGGAAATTCTAAAATCATTTTTTGGGAAAAATTCCATCAACAGGGCCCTTCTAGTCAACATACTATTTTCCTTACGTGAATACCGAACTTTGTTTCTCACTATTGAAGCTCTAAAACTAAGAGTCTGGCCAAAGTGAATGCCTGGCAGTTAACAGCTATAGTCTCACATTGAGCTGCACTTGCTACATCACTTAGGAAAATGCAGTCAATATTAGGCTGCAGAGCTTCCAATTGATCAAGCCAGAAAAAGATATTTACTTCACATCTGCTCATTTTCTTTGCCAAGAAGAAAAGCAATTATCTGCTCTAGTACAAAATACAACAGCTGCTTGGACACAACACACATAAGAAAAAAATGATGATTTTAGTCAGAAACCGGAAATCAAAATGATAAACTCAGCAAACTGAATGAATAATAGAAATGGATTGTCAACCCTGTGAAGTTTCCATTATTTTCTGTTCTTTAGAAGACAATCATCAATTGAGAAGGCTCAAGCCAATTAACATGTATGGATACATGACACAGTTTCCCTCTATCATGGGCTAAGAAAACAAATGCACTCAAGGCTCCTGTTACCTTTTCTTAAATGTGAACACTCTACAAAACTATAAAAATGGGTAAAGAAATTTTTATATGAGACAACCTCAACAAACAAAATACTGAGCTTTCACAAATATGCGGGATTCAATTATGATAAAAATCTCAGAAATATCATTTTATCATTCTCAAAAATATAACAATATCAAATGCTTTGAATTTTCTTATCTTCACACTTAAATCATATGTTGCATCAGGCCTCGTGATCAGACTTTCCTACATAGGAATCTAATTCAGATGAGCTTGCCACTGCCCTGTAAACCTTCATCTCCAGGGGTCAAAGTCCTCTGACTTCACTCCCAAGTTCCTTCATGACAGGACTCCTGCCTACCCTTCCCAACCTCATCTCCCACTGCTCATGCCCTGAGCTGCTTGCTCATAGTTGCACGCATTCATGTACACACACACACACACATACACAGAGAGAGAGAGGCATTCTGCAGTTGCACACCTCTGTGTCTCTGCCCAAGCTATGCTTTCTGCCTGGAGATACTATCATTGTCTCATCTGTTAAGACTCAGCTTGAGCCAAACTTCCCAAGCTGGCTAAGGTCACCTCTCCTGTGATCTCATAATTCTGTGTACATACTTCAAGCATTGCACTTGCCATCCTCAGTGAAATTATCTTTTTATTTGTATGACTTCCCCACCAAGATGTAAGCTAATCCATGCTGGGCCAACAAGTCTCTTTTTTGAAAATTTTGAGTCAGGGCACAGGAATTCTGTCTATTTCTTGCAGAGAACTGAACAGAGAGGCTGTATGAAACTGGCACTGAAGTGGTCCTGCACTCGTCAAATTTTAAAAAGTCAATCTTTTTTGTTTTTTTTTCCGAGATGGGGTCTTGCTCTGTTGCCCAGGCTGGAGTGCAGTGGCATGCTCCCAGCTCATTGCAACCTCCGCCTCTCAGGTTCAAGAGATTCTCATGCCTCAGCCTACCGAATAGCTGCGGTTACAGGCATGCACCACCATACCCAGCTAATTTTTGCATTCTTAGTAGAGACAGAGTTTCACCACGTTGGCCAAGAGGTCTCGAACTCTTGACCTCATGATCCGCCCACCTCAGCCTCCCGAAGTGCTGGGATTACAGGAGTGAGCCACTGCTCCCAGCCCCCATCTTTCTTTCTCTATTTATTTTAAAGGGATGAGGTCTCACACTGTGGCCCAGGCTGAAGTGCAGTGGTGTCATCATAGTTTACTCTAGGCAGGAATTCCTGGGCCCAAGTGATCCTGCCCCAGCCTCCCAGGTAGCTGAAACCACAGGTGTGCACCACCATGCCTAGCTCATTTTTAAAAAAAATTTTGAGGAGATGGGGTCTGTGATGGTTAATACTGAGTGTCAACTTGATTGGATTGAAAGATACAAAGTATTAATCCTGGGTGAGTCTGTGTGGGTGGTGCCAAAAGAGATTAACATTTGAGTCAGTGGGCTGGGGAAGGCAGATCCACCCTTAATCTGGTGGGCACAATCTAATCAGTTTCCAGTGAATATAAAGCAGGCAGAAAAGCATGAAAAAGAGAGACAAGCCTAGCCTCTCAGCCTACATCTTTCTCCCATGCTGGATGCTTCCTGCCCTCGAACATCAGACTCCAAGCTCTTCAGTCTGGGGACTCCAACTGGCACTCCTTGCTCCTCAGCTTGCAGACAGCCTATTGTGGGACCTTGTGATCATGTAAGTTAATACTTAATAAACTCCCCTTTAGATATAGATATATAGATACATATATATAATCTCCTATTAGTTCTTTCCCTCTAAGAGAACCCTGACTAACACAGGGTCTCTCTATGTTGCCAGGCCTTGAACTCCTAGGCTCAAGTGATCTTACCTCGGCCTTCCATGGTGCTAGGATTGTATGCATGAGCCACTATGCCCGGCCCAAGTCAGTCTTTACAAAGAAGGAAAAAGGAAAACAATATTAATTTTTTTAAAAGCGACAGAGATACTATGAAGCCCCAGAGAGGCAAAAATATAAATGTTTTGACCTTGCCAGTTCCTGTGTCCAGAAACCGTGTTCAACACATGTCCTCAAGTGTTGTTAGAGTCTAGTGTATTTTTCTAAGAAATACTGCAAATTGTTTAAACAAACTTTTAAAAGTTTTGCTCTCGCAAGCAAATGATCCCTAAGACATTTGTATATAGAGTAAGTTTTTAATAAATGTTTATTAAATACCTTTTAAAAATCAGTTTGCCAATGTGCAACTTTACTACATTATGATTATTGAAGACAAAATACATAAAACACAAAACTTAATCTTTTTTAAATATTGACATTTTCCATCATTGCATTTGAGCTAAGTTCCAAAGACTTAAGTAGGCAAAAATTAACAATGGAAAAGGAAAAGAGAAAAATGACAATGAACACTAGCAAAATTTCCTCCAAAGTCTGTGTAGTCACAAGAGTCTCTCATTATGGTATCTCATTTTAGGATCAACCTCTAACTCTCACACAGTTTCTAACTACACAGGCCAATGGAGTATGGTCATGTAAAAAGAGGAAAATTGGCAGTACAGTTCTTAAGAGTTTGAAGATAACAGACTTTCCAGAGAGTATCAAATGACGTGAGGCCAACCAGCTTGTCTCCCTTGTGTCACTTCATGGATAAGAAAAACCAAGATCTAGGGAACTAAAGTAATTGGCCCAAGGGACATCGCAAATCAGAATCCAAGTAACACCCACTAGCCAGGCTTCTTGCACTACCCTGTGCTATCTCTCATTTCTTTGTCTCTTGCGCAACCTGAGAAATAGCTATTCTCTAAAAAAGAAAACACATACACCCCAAAACTAATCAGTGACTTTCCATTGTTCAGGTTTTTCAAAAACAATAATGAGGGAGAATGAAAAGCGTTTTAATGCTCAAGACATTCTGTTCTCTTAGTCATCAACCATGATTACGTCTACATTTCCTGCTTAGAAAAGTCTGGAGATCGGCACCCAATTTCGACTTATCTGAATGGTTTACCTTTATAACCTTGGCAGTTATAAAGAAGAAACAAATTACATTGGGGATAAATGCACAACCTCTCCCTGACTGCATGACAAGCCAAACTGAAGTTTTATAATGAAAGAGACCACTTTTTAAAATCAAAGCTTTTTTCCATCATAATTGCAGTGTGAATCATCATTCCTTTCACAAAATCACACTCCTTTCATAGTCACAAGGAAAAATTACTTAAGGAAGCCAAATGAAAACTATGAAAAAAAAAATCTCTGATAAAGACTTTACTGTCAGGAACCAGAAGCTCTAGCACTCAAACACTGAAATATATTGGTTTTTGATTAGTTACCTAGAGCATGTCTAGCTCTTAACAAAAGACACAAACATTATTCCTTCCATCCAACTCTGGCTGGCTGTTTGGGTTTGATTGTATTATTTATTTATTTTTCCAAATTATATATATTAATTGCCTTCAGCTCTTAAAAGTCTATACTTATGTTTATTTTAAACACTTTACCAAGACTTATATAGGTTAAATCACTAAGGGCAAATCTTTAATGACAGGTCGCTCATGAAGACTGTAGCTTAGGGTGACGTCAAAGTCAATATGCATTTCCAAGCTTATATATAAAGTTATAAACATCATGGTTTGAATAATATAAATAGTATCAAAAATTCACAAATCTACAAAATGAAACACATCCTACCATATGACTATAAGGTCATCTATCTAAAAAGCTAGTAAATTAAGTCTTTATTATTTGCTTTTCAACCTAATTATTTGTTTATTAAAGTGATGATATTCAAAATACATCAAAAATTTTTAATTTAAAAAAGGTCAGCTGTTAGTCTCAGAAACTAAGAATAACTCTAAATATGCCTTTTGAGACATAACAAGGATGGCATTCATCAGTTAAGAATTAAGTGTTATCATAAGGATTCTATTATCCTCTTAAACTTTGATGGACTGGCCATCATTGCTACATGAATGTTTTTCTCTTATCATCTATTTCCCTCTAAAATAGTGTAAGCTCATAAAATGAGGTAACCACATACCATAAAGTCAAACAAAGACTATACAACTTTCCTTCATTAACACAGCAAAGAAAAGGTGAATGGTGTAAAAAGAAAAGCTTTCTAAACAGTAATTCTTCCACATTGGCTTTCGCATAAAATAAACATGGGAGAGGGGAGTTAAATCCTAGCACTACCATTTATGAAAACCCACAATTAAGAGCTATCATAAGCTGTTTCATGTACTACCTCATTTGTTTTTCACAATAATCTCATGGGATAGGTATTAGTATTACTTCTGCCGTGGTACACACAAGGAAACTGAGACACAGAGCGTGTAAGCAATCTGTAAAAGATCATATGCCTGGTAGGCAGTGGGGGCAGAATTGGAGCCCAGGCACTCTGGCAGGAGTCCATGTTCTTTACTGGTAATGTACACTGCCAACCTCATACGTTTCGCAAGAATCAAAATTGTAAGCCACCTGTAAAATTTGAGGCATGGTTCCTGGCCATTGGGAAGTGCTACAGTGGTACTCATAATGTTGATCATGATGAAAATCACAATCATCATGCTTGCTTCTGAATTTTAAGAGAATTTTCAAATCATTTCCACTTCTAAAATTCTGGTTTTCTTCTGAGGATAAATGTCCTTCCAAACCTCTTCAATTTTTGAAAAAAAAAAATTTCATTTAAGCATGTATATTTTTAAGGTTCTGTCATATTGAGTCTACAATACATAGTACCAGATCAAAACATGTGCCAGACAATTTTCCAAGCAACAACCTGGAAAGCCCACCAAATTATCTGAAATCACAATGATATATTACCTAGCATAGAATAATGTTCTCATGAAAAAATTATTTATATATCCCCTGAGTGTTTACAATGTTAAGATGAACTGATACAGCTTTTATTACAATCCCTCCACAATCTATCAGTAGGTTACATTAAAAAAGAGAAAGAGAAAAAAATTAAACTGGTTGATAGTAGCATGAACTAAAAGGGCAAAGATATCAGCAGCTAACTCCCTGCAGCACGGTAAGAGCACTAGCTGTGTTCTGCAAAAGAAGAGAGCTGTTTTGTGGCCTTGGAGTCAGCTGCCACTCTCTTACCCACACAGGCCAGGGGTTGAGTATTCCATATGGTGTCTGCTGAGCTGATAGAAAGTCATGAGACCCGAGATCCTCTTTCAACAGCCTGTTGTGACAGTGATGGAATTGCATGCCAACCAGAAATGCCTATGTTCTGACAGCGTTCTCTTTCAACATATGTCCCTGTGCATCCAGTTGGAAGGCAGATGCCTAAGCTTGATTACTCTACACTGAGAAAGGAAAGAGCTTATCATCTACTGACTGAAATTCACAGGGGATCAAATATTGCCAAGAACCGATACCCAATCAAGATGAAGCAGAATGAACCAGGGACTGTCAGCAGTTAGAAACTATCAACTGCTAAATGATGAGTTAATGGGTGCAGCACACCAACATGGCACATGTATACACATGTAACAAACCTGCACATTGTACACATGTACCCTAAAACTTAAAGTATAATAAAATAAAAGAAACTATCAACTGCTACCCATAAATTAAAAGGAATTTTTGCCTCCTTAGCATGTGATTTATTTAGAAGAAGCTTTTAGTGCTAACTTTTGAATGAAGCCAATAAGCACGTTGTTGAAATGATCCACTTTAGTGCTGAGCTCAGTTCAGGAACCAATGTGGAGTTCCAAGAAGCTTTCAGATGAACTCATAAAGGTACTTCCTGCTTTACCACATACTCTGGGTCTGGTTAAAAAGGGATAAGATCCTTCTCAATTAATGGTTAAGAAACAGTAACAGAAAAATCAAAAATCTTTCTTCAAATTCTCTAGCCATCAAAGAAAACACTTTTCTGGCAAGTTCTATATTTGAAAAAAAGCTACTTTAATGAGACCTGGGAAACCAGCTTGAGTAAGTAACCCACCAAAGAACATTAAAGGCACAGTAATGACACTATTCCAATAAACACAGTTCATAATTAAAAAGCCTTTTAACACTAACTGACAAAGTTTATTTTTGAAAATAAGTTTTGTACTTAACTTTTTTTTTTCTTTTTAGAGGCAGAGTCCTGCTTTGTCATCCAGGCTGGAGTGCAGTGGTGTGATCATGGCTCACTACAGCCACAAACTCTTGGACTTAAGCGATCCTCCCACCTCAGCCTCCCAAAGTGCTGGAGTTACAGGCATGAGCCACAGTGCCCAACTTTAATTTTTTTTATTTTTTAAAACACATTTCCTGCCATTTCTGTCACACCTATAGCAAAACACCGCCATTCATTTACCCTTTTCAATAAACTGTTTCCTTCTCTATAGGAGGTCATTTGCCTGCAGTAATCAACCACCTCCCTTCTGCAGTGCCCTAACATTCACCAAGTGTGCCTGTAGTCCCAGAACACCAAAGGGCACAGGGTCTTAGCAAAAACGATGGTCAATTCACTACATTAAAAAGAAACTAGGCCAGGAGCAGTGGCTCACGACTTTAATTCCAGCACTTTGGGAGGCCAAGGCGGGCAGATCACCCAAGGTCAAGAGTTCAAGACCAACCCGGCCAACATGGTGAAACCCTGTCTCTACTAAAAATACAAAAATTAGCCAGGCATGGTGGCACACCTGTAATCCCAGCTACTCGGGAGGCTGAGGCAGGAGAATCACTTGAACCCAGAAGGCAGAGGTTGCAGTGAGTCGAGATAACATCACTGTACTCCAGCCTGAGCAACAGAGCGAGACTCAATCAAAAAAAAAAAAAAAAAAAAAGAAAGAAGCTGAAGAAGGGAAAAAGCTCAGCAATGCATATGGATAAAGATTAGGAAAGATATAATTTGGGTACTGTGTCTGAACGACAGGACCCTGAGTATAAACAGTTATAAAGTTGTTTAACAATACGTAACTTTAATTATACTGGTTAGTTTGGTCAGTGTCATTATATAGTTCAGCCTAAAAGTTATTGCTTTCTTGGGTCTACCACTATCATGCTCCTACCTCCTGGAAATAACTCACAGTGATCTGAATACGGTCACCTAAAAACTACATCTAAAGACTTAACTATGCATGCCATTGAAGAGAGAATTCCATAGTGAAATGTGGACCAGCTTATTTATACACAAAGCAAGGGAAGCAAGGAAAAAGCTATTAGCAGCAATTAAAAATTTGCAACAACCCTTTAAAGTAAGATATTGGTTCATATCTGCTTCCACGAGGTGGTTTGTGTTTCTAACGTGCATCACTGAGGTTTATATTTTAAGAGATTTTAAAATGAGGGATGTGGGATTTATTAAAAAAATATGAACCTAGAAACTTCACTTTTAACTGTTACATGTATTTTCTGTGTGGACCCATTAGTTAACTCCACACCTCTTATTCAGTCATTTCATTTTTGAAAGCAGCAGCTGAATGAGACTGAAAATGGCTCATCTGAGATCAATCAATGAATATGATGTATAAAGGGGAGAAAGAGAACCCAGTTATTATTCATCAATAATACAGGCTTTCAACATAGATTTGTTCTGTCACCTGCAAATCTCATATCACTAGCTCACTAGGTTTCTCTCAAAGATGGTACGAGGCTGTTAATAATCTGGAACACATTTTCCCTACTCATAGAATCATAACGTGTGACATAAAAGTTCAAAAGCCTACCTCAGGAGTTTAATTTGCACAGCATTTCTTACTTTGGGGAAAAAGAGTACGATGAAAGGTCTACAGCAATAAAACATAAAAATGACACTTAAAAGATCAGCTACCCATTTTATCATTGAAGGTCAAAATATTTATATGCCTCCCTATGTCTCTTGAATTTAATTACCTTATAATTCACTTTAGTGCCAAACTGTTCTCTAGTCCTAAACTTGTTTTAGTTTTTTTATTTGTACACCTATGTGCAAGGTATTTACAGGAAAAAACTTTTAAGAGCCACTGAAATGAAAATCTAACCATTATCTCGCCCACAGAAGTAGAAAAGGAGTTCGTTTTATGTAGAAATATCATGATCATCATCCCATAAAGTTTTATAAGGATAGGACTTTGTTTCTTTCACTGCCATATTTCCAGCACCAAAAATAGTGCCTGACACATAGTAGGTGCTCAGTAAACAGTATTCAATGAATGAATGATCCATAATATACCCTGAAGGGTAGCAGAGGAAAGAGGAAATGTCCAAGAATTTATTGAGCCAAGAACTGTCTTCAATGCCTATTGTGGTCATTGTCATTTAAATATGAAACCAATCAAGTATATATGAAGAATGAGTATACATATATAGGTGTGTATATACTTGATATATATATGGAATGAAGATAAGATTTCATTTAGAATTCACTGGGCTTTGTAATGTGAAAGGGAAAGTGTTTCCCTGTGTGCCTGAATTTGATGTATTTAAGATGTTGGGGGATGTTTACACACAAAACATTTCTCATTTCCCATGGAATAATTCAGTAAAAGAAGCATCAACTAAAATGTAATCTGATTCTAGAGTAGGTACTCTCAACTCTAGGCTTTTCATTATACTTTCTACCCATAAGTCAATCAGTAAGTCACATAAAAATAGGCAAACTAAATAAATGACCTGCAGTAGGATTTTTTCCTGGGCTTAGATTTTTCCCTGTATTAGATAACTTCTGAAAACAATATTTTGCCTGATAACATTTGGCCCAATTCTTGTCAACCTCACACCAATGCATCCCATATGACTATGTCCTAATAGTTTTGAAGTTGAACAACAACAAAAAAATCGCACACAAACTCATTCCTTGCCTGCATATTGCAGGTTCAGCATTTTCATAATGCATCCTGGTGTTCAGAAACCCATACGGGGAAAATAATATTCAGAATACTAAACTAATAATAATGACGCTGCTGGCTTCCATGTGCTGAGTGGCCATGGTATGCCAGGCACCAATTACATGCTTATACATGTACAAATGCTTTTAGTCCTGACAACCAGCATTTCACCCTTTGAGAGATGAGAAAACTGAGGCTCACAGAGATCAAATAACTCGTCTGGGATCAAGTAAGTGATAGAGCCATGATTTAAACACTCTGTCTGCAGAGTCAGAGATCTTAAGAACTATGATAACGTTGCCTCTTCCAACTTTTATTTGCTTTACCTGATCACCTTCTGACAAAAGTACAAGCACAATTTTCAAAAGTAATTGTAACAGTAATCAAATATATACTCAAAGGTATGACACTGTTTTTTGTTTTTTGTTTTCCAAAGAGAAAACATATATGACAACTTTCCATTGGGGGAAGATGGTCCGGGACCATAAATACATTAACTTAGTGAGAATCCGGCCCAATTCCAGCTGTGCTATCTGCTGCTCTCCAATCATCACTCTTTCTAAAATAGCCTGCTACCTGAGGTTAAAAAGATGAAAAAGTAATCTACAAAGCATGTCACCTAGCTCAATGTATTAGCACCAATACCCCATACTGAAGCAAGTCAAGAGGTGTCTCATTTGTGGAACCCGAGATGACTACAAGAATCTTTGTACCTGCTGAGAGTTCAATGGAGAGGCCAGCTCCACATAGAAATCAAACAAGCACCCTGCCTCTTCCCCAAAGCTTAGCCCTCGCTCTGGACTCTGGGCTTTAGAGCACAGTAAATGGTCAAAGCACAAGTTTAGGAGTCAAACAGTCTGGGTTCCAATCCTGACCCTACCACTTACTATGTGAACTTGGACAAGGTTTTTTAACCTCTAAGCCTCAGTTTCTTCATAGCAATGGGAGTTACAACATCTACCCTAAAAGTGATACCACAGTGGTTGGATAGAATAACACATGGGACATGCTAGCCCCCTTTCTGGTACATAGTAGTTGGATAATAGAAAGTTTTCTTCCCCCTACTGAGGGACCTTCTCACTGGTGTGCTGGAACTGGCTGACACTGGTTTGGAAGAGCTGACAAAGTTTTAGGAATTTTACAAGTCGCTTACTTAAAAAACAGCCATTATTAAAAATTCAAGTAAATAAACTTAAAATTAAATATGTCATATTTTAAACAAGGTAGTACATATTCAAAGCTCACTACTCTTGAGTTGGCTTTTTGCTTCACTTTGCTATTATCTATGCTTTTGAGGTTATTTATGTCTATTGCATCCGTCTGGTAGAAACATGGCATCATGGCGGACTATGACAGCTCTCACAACTCCATGGTCAGTGAAGTCACACTCGTAGCTTGCAATCAGCCACAGTGGGAGTATTTACATTAGCAAACACTACAAATCAGGAGTCCCGTTCTTTGGAGAGCCAGTTATTAAACAATTAGCAGCATACCAGAGGAATTCATATTTCTTCCTACCCTTTCTGCTCCAGCATCATTCATCTCTCCTCTCTACAGGTTATCTAAGGATACACACACACACACACGTCTGAAAAGAAAAATGAACATTCCTCCCACTAACAACCTTTTCCCCATTTCTTCATTGGCAAATTTATTGAAAATGTTCCATCTATGCTTAATTTCCAACACTTTCTTATCATCCACTCATCAACTGATCCATGTCACAAATATTTAAGCAGCTGTTATCGGCCAGACACTGTGACAGGAGCTGGCAACACATCTATGAGACACCCTGGCATGAACCTGCCCTAACCAAGTTCATAGTCACATGGCAGCCTAGCTTCTGTCCCACCTTAAACATCTCCAGTGATCTCTGTACTCCTTTAGCCTCCATTTAAAAAATTCACGATTTCCCCAATTGTTTCACCTTCTTTCCCTCCATGGCCCTCAACAAAAATGTCCAGATTTTCTCAGTGTTTTAACCCTTTATTCCTCTTCCCTTTTCCTTGGGAATTTCATGCATTATTATGATTTTATTCTCTCCCCAACCCCCAGAAAATCTATTACTCCCCTAATTTTTCCACTTAGTAACTAATGCCACCATCCACCCACCTGGTTAAGCCAGAAACTTGGAAATCCTTGTTTCCTTCCTTTCCCTCTCCCCATCATCACAAACATTAATTAGCGAGTCCTATTGGGTCTGTATCAGAAATGTATCTCAAATCCACCTCATCTCTTCATTGCAGTTTCCATGACTCTCAGCTAAGACCCCCTTTCCCTCACTCAGCTTGTGTGAAAGCCTCCTAACCCTTTTCCCTCCTTCATGATTGCCCCCAACAGCCTGCACCACGAAGAGGCCAGAGGGAACGTTTTTAAAAGAAATGTTATCATAACTGTCTATACACACACACACACACACACACACACACACACAAACTCCAGTATCTTCCCATTCCCCTCAGAATAAAATCCAAACCTGCTTCCACAGCCAGCACAGCCCTTCACCTGTGCCCTGCCCCCTCCTTGCCCTCACCCCTTCTCCTCCCAATTTGCTATGATCCTCAAGCCTGGAACCCTCTGCCAGATCCCTGCACATCTTCACTGGCAATTCACCTCATTCAGGAGGATTTGGAAGCCTTCCCTGGCCAACCAACCCAAATGCCCCCAGGCTAAGCCATCACTCTCCATCACACCCTGCCTAACTCTCTTCTGAGCACTCACATTGTTCAGTCAGTGTTGATTATTTATTGTCTACCTTCCTCTACTAGAAGAAAAGCTACACAAGAGCAAGGACCTTGTCTTTCTTATTTACCAGGACACTCCTGGTGCCTAGAACATGCCTGGCACTTGTCAGCCCCTCAACAGATATTTATTGATGAATGAACAAAAGAATGAATGAATGGGGCAAGATAAAAAAACAAACATAGGCAAAGGCAAGAATAACTGGAAACAAAGACTGCAGAAAGAGGGAGTTTTAAGGGACTACACAGAAGAGTAACAACAGCAATCTGAAGTGGTAAAGTGCTAATCTTATGAATGGAATTTCCATATGTTAAACTAATTGAGAGGTCATTAGGCTAAGGTGACTCTGGCACCCTGCATCCCTACATCAGCAGAGAAACTCAACTCAGTGTAAATGGTAAAATGAAACCAAGCTTAACCACTAACTAACCTCTAACTAGGGACTTTCCACTGGAATGATCCACATAGGGCTACTACTCCCCTTTAACCAATCAAATATTTCCTTTGCTCTGTTTCTGCGTTTGCCCTATAAAAGCTTCCCCACACCCTGTCCCAGCAGGGGAGCCCCAAAGCACTGGCAGTCTGGAGCTGCCCAATTCATTATTCACTGTCTGCTCAAATAAACTCTTTAGCTTTTTAATGTGCCTCAGTTTATCTTTTAACATATATCTGTTATATTCTGACTTGTCTGTGGCCTGAAACATTTTAGAGACAGCCTAATTTAGGGAGCAACACCTGTGCTGATAAATCCATGCTAATTTTCACAGCTAGGTCAAAATATCACAAAAAAGGAAGAAAATAAAGACAGTCATGTGCTGTAAAGATTTTCATACATCTTCAAAAACATTTCAGAAAGGAAGAGTCCTCTGGGTTTCCTCCCATATTTGGACTGTAATAAATTCAGATCAAACACAAAGAGCAGAGAGAGAGAGGCAGGAGAAGGGGAGGGAGAACGTTCTCCTCCCCCAGGAAACGTAGGGCGCCCATCTTCTGATGCCTGAGGCTGCAGGGACCCACACCCCATCACAGGCAGGCAGCAGGGCTTCCACTTGCTTCCTCTAACTACTCCTTTCTTATCCATTAGAATATAGGGAAGGAAGGGAGGGAAATAGGGACAGGAAGAAGGGGGTAAGGAGGGAAGCATGAAGAGAGGGAGGTCACAGTGTGCTGACTCAGTGCTTCACTTCCCCAGGCATCCCAGGCTGCACTAGGTGATGCTGGACATTGAAAACATGCAGGGACCAAGAAACCCAGCCCAGTACCTCATCATGGACCACACAGCTCGTGGGGACACTGGGAATCCACTGCTCTTGGGTTCTGGTGGCAGTGGAGAGTGGCAGCCACCCCAAGCTCCTTTGTGAGGGAACCGCTGCTGCTTCCCATTCTCCCGGTGAGGATGGCCTGGCAGTGAGGAGGGCTGGGGGCTCCCGGGCTGCTGTGGGCTGCGTGGACAGAGGGCCCCATTGCTCCTGTTGTGCATGGAATTGAGGGAAAACAAAGTCAACCAGAATGACAAGGCTTACAACAACCGATAGCAGTAAACTGCCCCACCCACAAGTCTTGCTTCCTGGAAACAACCATTCTCAAGTCTTTAGCCCTTGTGTTTCTGATATTTACTGCCATATTATTAAAACAACATAATTATGAATGTTTTTTCAATTTTAGACCTTATCGTATTGACCTAGTATAGAACACTGTAACTCAGTCTTTGTTAGATGGCCACCAACACACACACACACACACACACTCAAACACACACTTCTTCACCCCTCACCCTCCAAATAGGTTTCTCTCAGAATATTTGGTTGCAGTGGTATTAAGGATTTACATTATTATAATCTTGTAAGATATTGCTCATAGCTGAACCATCCAATTAATTACATTTTTTTCTGTTATGAATTCTCTGAGAAACCACTCAGTTATGTGAGTAACTCACATAACCCACTAGATGGGCAAAAATTTAAACATCTGATACTACCAAGGGATGATCAGAAAGTGAAACAAAGAGGATTCTCATTCCTGCTAGAACCATTTCAGGAGCAATGTCTCGGGATGTAATGCAGTTAACGTGCATCTATCCTTTGCCCAGCAACTACACTTCCATGGCTACGCCTGAAAGAAACCTTCACGTATTTGCACAAGAATATATGCACAGAAATTTCACTGCAGCTTAGTTTATAATAGCAAAAATGTAGAAATAAACTAAATTCCAAACCCAGAAAAATGGATAATGATAATTAAATACTATACAGCAGTTAAGATAAATGAAATACAGCTACATATATCAACACTGATATATCTCAAAAGCCCAATGGTAAATGAAAAAAAAAAGCAAGTGATACCATTTATGTAAAGTTTGAAAGTATGTAAAATAACACTTTTGCTATTCACTAGCATGTGTGTATATGAAGTAAAGTCCTAGAAACTATCATGGAAATGAAAAGTGCCAAATTCAGGATTGTGATTCCCTCTGGAGAGAGAGGATAAGGACTGTGGACAGAGAATGTTATTTTCTAGATGTTGGAAATTATATCCTGAATTTTTAAAAAAGAAAGATAATTTTCAGGAGCTGATTTTGTACTGAAAATCTTTCCTCCTAAAGATGATGTCAAATAGAAGAAATCTCATTCCATCCATGTGGGGCCAATCTTAAAATTTAGGAATAAACTGCACTTGTAGGAAAGTACTTGCAACATTTTGTTTCTATTACTGTTTCTTTCCTGCTTCCTGAATCATACGATGAAAGATCTCAAGAACCACCTAGTGCTAAGATGTTTATTCTAAATTAGCAGATAAAGTAGGGACTGGGGAGTAGACCCCTAGGTGCTTGTGTAAAACTCTGTGTATATGTGCATTCCTCTGGGGACATAACTTTGTGAAATTCTCAAGAGTCCACGACCCCCCAGATACTCAGAACCTTTGAGCTGTGTAACTGTCATGGTGCCTGAGCAGCAGACGTCCTGCGAGGTCTCCTGAGTCCCTGTCATATGTTCCTCCCTGGAAGCAATGGTGCTCCGGGCTAACCCTGTGAATCTGGAGCCACGCGGACATGGGTTCAAATCTTGGCTCCTCTTGGGCTGGCTGACTGTGGGGAGGATACTTTCTGTGCCTCTGTTTTCTCCTTTGTAAAATGAGGATAAAGATTGTTGCAAGCAAATGGCATGGCACAGTGCCTAGCACAGGGCCCGCCCTTAGGTGATATCACCCATCTTTGGCCAGGTCTCCGTGTTACATCCTCTGGTTCCTTCCTACCACTTTTTACAACTGTAATCAATCACTCGTCAAATTACTTACATAATGTCTGTCTCCACCAACATCTTAGATGCTCTTTGCGGGAAGGAACCATATTTGTCTTGCTCTTGGCTAGGCAGAATGAGTATGTGTTGAACGGGTGGACAAAAGCATGAAGAAAAGAATGAATGCCTCCACTTAAGCAGCACTACCGGATATGAAAGCCAGAAGTTTCTTTTTCTTTTTGTTTTGAGACTGAGTCTCCCTCTGTCACCAGGCTGGAGTGCAGTAGCGCAGTCTTGGCTCACTGCAATGTCCGACTCCCTGGTTCAAGCAATTCTCCTTCCTCAGCCTCCCGAGTAGCTGGGATTACAGGCACATGCCACCATGCCCAGCTAATTTTTGTATTTTTAGTAGAGATGGGGTTTTACCATGTTGGCTAGGATGGTCTCTATCTCCTGATCTCATGATCTGCCGGCCTTGGCCTCCCAAAGTGCTGGGATTACAGGCGTGAGCCACCACGCCCAGCCTAAAAGTTTCTTTAAAAAAAAAAAAAAAAAAGACCCAGACTGAGCTGCGGGACTTGTATCAGCAGTATTAATCCTCCCAAAGAATTTCTAGCCATTTAGTATGATGAAGGTAAAGAAAAAAAGAGACAAGTATCCCTTTTGAAAAAGGCCTGGCTCAACAGTGACTACATGAAGAAGAAAGAAAGAGGTGTAGGCACCAGTGGGCTGGAGAGTCCCAAGATCAGAGGAGACATGACTTTCATGACAACATTAAAATAGCTCTGGACTGGACCACGTGAGAGAACGCATCTGCAGTCAGCTGTCTTATCTTTTTGCTGTCAGTGAGGCATAGCAGAAAGACATTAGGAGGTTGAGACAAGGTAGATGCAAGAAGAAAGTGGAAAAGGGGTTTACAGGTTGTTCCCTAAAAAGTAAGATGGGCAATGCAATTACTCCCACTGGTCAGAGGATACGGAGGAAAGGCAACCTCACATAGGCCAAAGGGAGGGCCTCTGGCTCACGGTTTTCTTGGCACGAGTTTGGGTCAAAGTGATTATTTGGCTCCAAGTTTTTACAAGCCTCTGAGATTTACCGAGAGCCAACAGAGCACTACACTCTTTTTAAATTATCCCCAACTATCACACTTCCAGGCAGGAAGGTGATCAGAATTTCCTGACTCATCTCAGCGTGTTGCCACTCAATATCACTGCTCTTATCTTTATGTCAAGAAGTATAAAGAGGTAGGAAATGGGATTTAAAAAGCAGGATTGTTTTTTCAGATAAAATTCTTCATTTGATACGGCAGGGGAATAAATTAGCCACATCTTTTAAAAGTTTAAAAGTAAGGACCTTATAATTACTGAAAAATGGGGCCTGCTTGTAAAATTACTGGTAATTATGGATTTGATGGGGAAGAAAATTATAGTATGTGCTTGAACTTTTAATATGCCTTAGTGATTCTTATCATCTATAAGCCACAACATAAAATGAGTGTGCCTTAAATTTTTTAAATAAATTAGGCTACTAAATAAGCTTGTTCATTAATTTGAATATGACGTGTACGTACTCCTGTATGGTGTAGACTGGCTCTTTGTGGAATTCCAATGGGTGCCTCCTAAAACTCTTAGGTAACAGCATCATTAGAAGAGCAGGAAAAGGGGCTCTTTGATGGATAACACTCATGCAAATGCAGGGATTCAAAGCAAGCTGTGAAAAACTGTTACCATTTGCAATCACTATTTTTATGAATCAAGATTTTCTCAGCAGCATGCAACCAAAACAAACCAGCAATATAAACTTGCAATTAACACAGATACTTTTCAATTCCAAATCTGGGGCTCACAAAAACTTCATAGTCCTCACTGATTTATACAAAAGTGTGAAGCATTTGAACATATATAATGCGCTTATCTTAATGAAATAAGCCTTGTTGATTACGTGACAGTCTAAGGTGAGATGACATTTAATAAAGTGTTATATTTTTTAAATGGAAGTTTGGAAACTATTAAGTAATTTTTCTCTGCCCATGACATGCCATTTGATATCAAAACTGTAAAATGACTTACGACTTGTCTTGCTTGTTGGAAAGGGAAAAGAGGTCATAAACCAAGCACACTCCAAACACCGTGATGCCTGTCTCTTTCACCAGCATCGCACAGGTCCCCAGAAACAAACTGAGCAGCAAGAAGAAGGGAGACACCGTGGAAGGGAAACTTCCCCCAACACAGCCCTGATCCAGACTCCTGAAAAACAAGTTGGAGATTCTTTTAATCTAAGAAAGAATATGGTCTGCTAAGAAATGCCACCTCTTAAAGATAAGATCTAATGTCAATTTCATTGCATTCTAAGTAATTAAGCAGGTAAGTAGAGATTTCTTAAAGAGCCTTCATCCCCACAATACTGAATTTTGTACTTAAATTGCAATATACACAGACTACGGTATGTAACAAACAAATGAACACCAAAAAGCCATTTAAAATTCTACCAGAGAGACATACTTAGTCATATGAAAAGATGTTTAAGTGAATACATTCTAAGTGAATAATCGAGTTACTAAACTATATGCATAAGCTCAGGGGCCAGGTTCCCTGGGTTCCCTGCTAACCACAGCCGTCAATTAACAGGATAATATGGGGCAAGTTGCTTTACTTCTTGGTGCTTCAGTTCCCTTATGTGTGAAAAGGGATTATAGCGTTGTAGGGGGGATTAAACGAATGACTTGTCACACATCAAGTGTGTATCACCATCATCATTATGGTAGTGAAGTGTTTTATATGCTTCCATACATAAAACAAAGTTGCCAGTGGATATATATGCCAAAATATAATAAGCATTTCTCTCTGGGATGAAAATACAACTATTTTAACCTTTTTTTCTTTTGGCTAAATTCATTTAGCCAAAATATTTAAATTCATTTTCTATGAGCATATCTTAGGTAAAGTTTATTTTTTTCTCAGTTTAATTTCCAACAAGGATTTTCAAAATCTCTCCGGTGCTGTTAAGCTTTTGTTTCACCTTGTAAAACAGAGCGGGCCCCCTACCAAGAGACATCACTGTTCCCTTCAACAGGTACCACACCTATTGGCTCCTATTCCATTGAAGTAAAGGCCAATGTTTCTGTAGTTGAGACACCTTCTCCTTAGTGTTCTTAGAACAATTGCATAACATTATATGCAGAATTTGCAGTAGAGAGGCATTTTTTTCTATTGAGTTGGTCTATAGCTCAAATTTCTGAAAGTGAGAATGGCATGCAAAACCAATCTGTAATAACATGGCTCATTATCATACAGATATGGATACACTGCAGGCCTAATCATGCCCCCAAATATATTAACCACAAAGAACAGGCCTAGAGAACAAGTTTAAACTCCAAAGCAATTATTACTTCTATTCTAATGCCAGAATGAACAAGAAACAATTAATTGTTAAATTTTGGCTTATATTTTCAGATTTCATAACACCACATCATATGATCAAGAATGCAGTAGGAAGTTACAAAGCCAGGAGCAGAAGACTTACACTATGCTAAGAAAATGTTCCACCCTTTAAACAAAACAAAACTTCCTAAGACTTAATTCATTTCATTATTGACACAAGGTCTAGATTGGTTTGTAACAGGTTTCTCAATCATAGCCCCACTGGCATTTTCTGCCAGATAATTCTTTGTTGTAGGGACTGTCCTGTGCATTGCAGAATGTCTCTTCTGCAACATCTTTGGCTTCTACCCACTAGATGCCATGAACACCACTTCAGTTGTGACAACCAAAAACGTATGCAGATATTGCCAAATGTCTCCTGCAGGTAGAGGAGGTAGTGGCTAGGACGAGGAGGAAAATCACCCCTAATTAAGAGCCACTGGTTTAGAACAGTGTTCCTCAGTCACTGGGCTTTGTAAGACTATAGGTCAATGAACTGATCCAAAGATCAGGGCCACCAAATGCTTAATCAGGCATCTCTCCATGAAACTGGGCAACATGGTTGACTTGCCCCCCTTTTCCAGGTTGTATTAGTCTGTTTTCACGCTGCTGATAAAGACATACCTGAGACTGGGCCACTTACAAAAGAAAGAGGTTTATTGAACTCACAGTTCCACATGGCTGGGGAGGCCTCAAAATCATGGTGGAAGGCAAGGAGAAGCAAGTCACATCTTACATGGATGGCGGCAGGCAAAGAGAGCTTGTGCAGGGAATCTCCCATTTTTAAAACCATCAGATCTCGTGAGACTTATTCACTATCATGAGAGCAGCACAGGAAAGATCCACCCCCATGATTCAACTACCTCCCACTAGGTTCCTTCCACGACACATGGAAATTGTGGGAGTTACAATTCAAGATGAGATTTGGGAGTTACAATTCAAGATGAGATTTGGGTGGAGACACAGCCAAACCATATCACAGGACATGCTCTGAGCTGCCCCCATTCACATTCTCTTTTTAATCCACTCCTTTCTCTATATGGACATGACATGACTCAGATGAGAATCTGATTGGTTTAGGGTAAAGGTGTAATATAATGGGAAATTATTTTAAGGCTTTTCAGTTTCCCAATGCAAAAAACTTCTGTCTTTTGATGAAACTATATGTAAATTGGAAAACCACAGTCGAGAAATGCTACTTTATACTCAGCTTTGTCATTTTAAGCTCTGAGTTACTTTGGTGAGGCTAAGAGAAAAAGTATTAGGAACAAAATGAAAAGGAAAAATTAAGCAAATTATAGGCAAATAAAAGAGAACATTGCATCAAATACATTTTGGCTTAGAGCGAAGATTCCAAATTCACTTCTCAGTAAGAAACTACAAGTAAAAGGAATGATAAAGCAAGTGCTTGGGTTCCCAACACTGGGAAAGCAATCCCTTTAAGGTGCTACAGTGTGGTTCAGAATGGGGTTGGAAGAGAAAACGGCCCAGCACTGGACAAGCAGAGAGTTTCCTATTCCTGGTCCCTGGAAATCTTGCTTAGCATTTCACAACCAGAAGCTTCTCTCCTCTCAGGCACATGCTCCCAGTCTACACACACGGCACAGTTGCGATCACAGAGAAGGGCATTCTTAGCTACACATACCTGTTGTACGAGAGAAAGGCCAATAGAAACAGCAGACACGCTAACACGTCCGCTCTGCCAACGATCCCAGCCACCTTGGAAGTTAAAATAATAAAAAATGAAACTTCAGACAATTACTTTCAGAAAACTATTACACAAATCCATTACAGAAATGTATTTGTTGTTAGATAAATGGAAGATATAATAAAATAGAAATCTCACTGTTCTTCAAGTTCTGATATATGGCTAAGCACCTCTGATTATCATATATATTTAATAACGAGTTTATGTAAGGAAAAAAGAGGATGGACGGAAGGGGCAAGATTTCCACACTTTATTTTTAAGCTCTCAGAGCGTCAATTCACGGCATCAAAATTTATTCATGTATTAACTTATTCAAAAAAATTTTTGAGCAATACTTGAGAGTCAGACACTGTGTCCTTCTGTGTACCATGCTGCTAATGGAGCAGACAATATTTTTAGAGAACTAGAAAAAAGTAAGTTGAGAATCAATACTTTTAACAAGAATGGGGCCGGGCAGGATGGCTCACATCTGTAATCTCAGCACTTTGGAAGGCCGAGGCTGGCGGAACACTTGAGTTAACGAGTTCAAGACCAGCCTGGACAACATGGCAAAACCCTGTGTCTACAAAAATATACAAAAATTAGCCACGCATGGTGGCACATGCCTGTAGTTCCAGTTACTCAGGAGGCTGAGGTGGGAGGACTGCTTGAGCCCTGGAGGTCAATGCTGCAGTGAGCTGTGATCGTGCCACTGCACTCAGCCTGGGTGACAGAGTGGACCCTGTCTCAAAAAATAAAAAAATAAACAGGAAAGGGAATGAGTTTGAACTCATGATTGCTATATGTGAGTATATGTGTATGTGCATGTGTGCATATTTTTCTTAGCTCTATCACTGAAAGGGCCTATAAATATAAAACCTCAGTAGCAAAGGGCCATCTTGGCACTAACCACAAACCATTTCCCCACGAAAGAGAACACCAGCTCCTTGGAAAACTGGCTGACACCAGGGCTGAGGCTGGGGAAATCCAAGAGGAGCTTGGATCATCTCGTGTCAGAAAGTAAGAAAATGCTTATAAAATGACAGTCAAAAGGTCATAGAAGCCAGGACAATGGGATCCCACCGAACAAACTTAAGGCAATTTGAATATTAAAATAAATGGTACAATAATATATTATAAACCATTGAAAATGAAATCCATGAGTCCATACTAATAATAAATACAGCTATGCATTCAATAACAACTTTCAGGTCAACAACGAGCCACATATATGATGGTGGTCCCACAAGATTATAATACCATATTTCTATTGTATATTTTCTATGTTTGATATGTTTAGATACACAAATACTTACCATTGTGTTACAGTTGCCTACAGTATTCAGTACGGTAGCCTAAGAGCAATAGGCCATAGCATCTAGGTTTGTATAAGTATACTCTATGATGTTTGCACAATGACAAAATCACCTAACCACTCATTCTCAGAACATGTCCCCATTGTTAAGCAATGCATAATTGTATATACATAAATGAATGAATGGATACATATAAATGTACATACATATATACAGCAAGCAAGTGAATGGGAAAGAAAGGAGACCTCTTCCTTCATTAAAAAGCCAGTTAATGAATGTGGAGGGAGCAGAGGAGTTGGGAAATAACCATTTTGCTTCCAGAAGAGTGAAGACTGGAGCAAGCAAGAAATATCAAAAATATCAATGGATGCTAAACCTAGGGCATGAAAGTTTTTGAGGTGCAAAGTATTAGTAGGACTTCAAAGTGTCTATTTACTAATTATTAAATGAAAAAACTTAAAAAGAACACTATGGAAAAAATGCATTATATTGCACTACGTCTTAACTGTGGAATCAAATTAAAATCACCATTCCTGAGAAGGAACCATCATAACCATCATTTATGCAGTATTCTAGCAGGGACGTATAACCTGAATATAATCATGAGAAAACATCAAACTCAATATGAGGAACATTTGATAAAAATATAAATGAATATATATTACGCTAACAAATTATAAATTTTATGTGTAGCAATATTTTGTAGCGTTACATTTTATTGCATATTAATTTATTCTAATGTATATTATACCATGATTCATAATTATATAACTCATTATAATCAATTATAATACTGTATTTATTATATACTATATGTATAATGTATTACATATATGATATGCATATATTATATTTTCTATATTTATTATTCATTCTGCATTTGCATATATATACTATATATCATATATTATTTATATATTATGTATTTTTTATATAATATGCTCTATCTATAAATTATATGTAGTATATGTTATAAATTGTATAACATATTAATAAGTATTATATGTTTATATTACAGTTATAGAATATATTAAACCATATATTGCAATATAACATGTTTTCTTATTTTACATGTTCTAATATAAATTCTAAATTATATTATAATCTATAAATTATATTATAGAAAGACAATGAAGACTGGTAACTGTTTCATACTAAAGGAGACTAATGAAAACTGAAGAGAAATGACTAATGCTTTCAGCTTTCAAAAATGTACAACTAAATTATTAAAGTATAAAGGAGTATGAATTGTGCAACCTACTGTCAAATGCTTCAGAAAATAAATAAGATTTTTATATATTGAGAGAGAAAGAGAGGAAGGTGATAAAACAAATGTGAGAAAATGTGAAAAATTAGTGACTCTGGATAGAAAGTATACAGTTATTCTCCATATTTTTTAAGTTTGAAATTATTTCAAATAATGCATTACTTCAGAAGAAGATTGAAATGGAAGAGGGATGGGAAACAGATGACTCTTTACAAATCTTCACACTATTTTGCTACATATCCATGCATTTCTCGTTTTTTTTTTAATCCAAGAAATAAGAGAGTCAAGGGAAAAAATGGGATATAGCTTTTTAAAAATGCTCCAAAGAACAGGTACCATAAGAGCTGAATGATGAGGAACAGCTCAAAAGGGAGATGAACTGGGCTGACATTTCAGGCACAGGAATAGTATCACCCACGTCACAGAAGACCCGAGGTCTATGGTGTGTTAAAGAATCCATCAACAATTAATAGTAGGAAATAGTTTTCTGGGAAATATACCTATAAGCATCCTGATGCAATGAGCACGCTTTGCAGTCATGAAGGAGAAGCAGTGAATAAGCATGGAGGTGGTCGGACGCAGTGGCTCATGTCACACCTGTCATCCCAGCACTTTGGGAGACCGAGGTGGACAGATCCCTTGAGCTCAGGAGTTCAAGACCAGCCTGGGCAACAAGGAGAAACCCTGTCTCTACCAAAAATACAAATGCCTAGCCGGGTGTGCACCTGTGGTCCCAGCTACTCGGGAGGCTGAGGTGAGTGGATTGCTTGAGCCCAGGAGGTAGAGGCTGCAGTGAGCCGAGATCACATCACTGCGCCCCAGCCTGGGCGACAGAGGAAGAACCTGTCTCAAAAACTTAAAAACAAAATAAGCATGGAGGTAAACCATTCAAGGTCTGAATGTAGACTGCTCTTGCCATCTGAGATTTGGTTTTGTTATGTTTAAAATCCATGTAACACCCACTCCCTCAGGGTGGTTGTAATTCATGAGATGATATATACATAAAGGGCCTGCTGGATAAATGCTGGTGCACTTCTTTCTCCCCCTTTCTTTTTTCTTTTTTTCAGAGAAAGGGGGTGGAACTCTTAACACTGAGATAGGTTTTCCTGTGTGGCTTATAGAAATCATCTTTTTACTTTAAGGTTTACACGTACGGTATCTTAATTGTGAACTTTATTAGATAATCTAATGTATCTGTTAGTTAAAATCTACATAAAACATAACTCAATTATACACACACAGATGGACTGACAGCAAGTCACATATTGAGAAAAATTCCAGTCCTTCTTGCATTAAGAGAAACCTGGACATGGCCAAAGAATACCATTGGCAATACAGAGCTGAAAGCTATTACCTGACGTGGCTGCTTGTACCACATGCTGTTCATTGATTCATTAATCTATAAGGAACTTGAGTACCAAATCAGGAAGACTGCATGACTCAAGAGACGAATGCAGTGACAGTGTGGTGTCGCCACAATGTCAAGGTTCAGCTCAGTCTCACAGGCTGTAAAGCCGAAGTGTATACAGGTCACCTGTAAGCCCAGATCTGCTCAGACTACACTACCACCTCCTTGAACATTTAGCTCAGCATCACCTGCAAGTCTTCCTGAAGGTTAAACAGAGAGCCTAGCTCTCTAGCAACAGTCTTGAGATAAGCCTAAGCATCTGGACCGAGAAGGGCACTCATCACAGCACAACTGATGTAGCCAACAGCAAGACTTGCAAGCTGTTACTGGGTGTAGCAAGTTGGAATGAGGCAATCACAAGCTAGACAAGCTTAACTAATGTGTTAAAGGCGTCCTGCAGCCTGGCTTCTTGCATTGCAGCCAGTTTGGAAGAGACAACAGCAGACTGTGCCAGCTGGATGTGCCCAGATATAAAGAATGTAGTGTCCCTTGCAGGAGAAGCTCAAAGAGGGTGTTCAAATATTCGTGTAACACTGATAGGCTCTCTTGCCAGTCCAAACCACTAAGCATGCACTGAACACCTATTCTATACCCCTGTTGAACTGAGGTATTTGGGGCAAAAGCCTAGATATCTAAAAACAGGTGCTATAATAGTCATTAACTACTGTATGTCTAGACCAGCCATTCATTGTGATTCAACTAGTCAGTATTGTCATGTTCAGTAAGTGTGTGTTTAACTCCAGTTAACAAACATTTTCCAAGTGCTTCCTCTTAGCTACATCCTGTGCCAGTTGGAAACATATAATCAGCCTCAAGGAGTTTAACATCTGGTGGGGAGTCAAAAGAGGGTATTAAATAGCACACAAGGAAACTGCATGCATCATAAGAGGAGAAACCATTACCAAGAGAAGACTGAAGAGATTAATTTTTACTGTAGGATCTAGGAAGGCTTCACAGGTCTGGCCATGTAAACTGTGACTTAAACATAGACAAGGAGGATTTCAGGAAGCTCAAGGCGAGAGGAAGCTCAAGGTGAGGGAATGCTCAGCCTAGGCCTAGGAAGGAACAAAAATGCTTTCCAGGTGGAGGATACAAGAATGGCAGAGAAAGAGAGGTCTGGAGATACATGGTGTGCTTCTGGAAGGGGAGACCTAAGGTGATGAAGAGCATGGAGTAAATAAAGAAGTGAGGAGGGGCAATGGGAAGCAAAGATGGAACATTAAACTGGAGCCAGTTGATTTTATGACAATGTAGGCTGAATTGTAGGATGCTGGAAAGTACAAAAGCAACTGGTCAGTTCATGGTTAGTGAAAAATATATGCAAATGGCCAGCATGTATTTTAGCCTCAAACTACAGGTTTCCATTACCAACATGGTGGCTATAACCTGGGAACTGCAGCCTCTAACAAATATTCAAACACTGGAAGGAGAAACATCAGTGAACATAATTGGATAGAATTCAAATAATGTAACAGCAGATCCTCAGATCTTCTAGCAAGGTTAACAATATCACAGGCAGAAATTTCAAATTAGGAGTTAATTTGCTATAGAAACCTGTCTTTGGAATACCACCAATAATATTTGTATAAAGTATACTATATGTATAAGGCTATTGATATTTATTTTATCTGCAAGAATGAGTTCCATTAATGTCATAGCTACTGGGGAGACTGAGGTGGGAGGATTGCTTGAGCCCAGGAGATGGGGGTTGCAGTAAGCTATGATCATGCCATTGCATCCCAGTCTGGGCTACAGGGTCAGACCCTGTCTCAAATAGTAATATTAATAATTTATCTCTATATCTTCTGGAAAGTACATCTCTTTTTCTATTTCTCTGTCCTCCTCCTACTTAGAAACTTGAATTGAAATCCATGACTAAATAATAAGTCCCCCAATTTTACTTTGTCATGTAAATTGTTTTGTAGGCTAAATTTCTCTGCCTCCTTCTTAGACTTCCCTCAGAACCTTATGAATGTAAGCATCCTCCCTAACATCCTTCCCTAAATAACTACCCAGCTCTAAGACTCCTCTGTCCCTTTCACTGTGTTACTATGGATTTTTTTCAATTAGTACAAAAGCTCGCTGCAACTTTTTTTAAGGTCATTTTGCTAATAGGATTTTCCTCTTTTCTTAGGAACCAACCTTAACCAGTTCCTGATCATACTGCCACAGGCTGCCTGTGTTTTATGCACTCTCTCTCTGATACCTCTGAATTGAAACTGTTATTGCCCTACTCATTTGTTCTTTCACGCAGTAATTGTCCCCAATATGCTCTAAGCACAGATTTCCAATTGTACAAGAAGAATTATTTGTCAGAAATAAAATGCTGTCTATGGTTTTATAGTAAAACATGCCATTGGCCCAGCATCACATATTCTATATGTCTAGTAGTAGTAGTCTTTGATTATTTTTCTTCATATTTTATCCAAAAAGAACATTAAAAACTTAAGTATCTCTCTTATTTTTTTCAATTCATATCAAAAATTTTTCATCATAATTTTAAATACTTGAAAGGATCTAACTTCCTATGCATTGTAGATATCGACATTTCAAAATGAGGCCATAATGTTCCTGTATTAAATTTACCAAATGTCATTTGAACACTACAGCAACTTGAAGCTCATCATCTTCCATTTACCTAAACATGAATAGGCTCTTCTTTAATTGGTAGACACTTCATACCCTTTCTCCTTGAACTCATACTTTCATTGTATTTCCCCCTCATTTTTGTAAATTACATAGTTATGCTTAAAACTATTGTATTTATCATCCTTCTCCCTATAATAAAAAATATACAATTAAATCTATATTTCAAATTTCTTTTGACCATAAGCCTCTAAGTGTTAAAATTTAAATTTTGTATTACTATTCCAATTATTAATTCACAGATACTTGATATATCATAAATAAAACAGAAAATGATAAATAATTAATAAATATAAAAAATCACCTCTTAATAATCTAGGTATAACAGATTTATTTTCAGTAAGTTCAGTTGTCTGTGGCTGAATCTTACCTTTTGTTAGACTATGACAGCAGGTACCAACTATTCCTAGCTTTCATCTTCATAGGATGTTCACATAAATAAGTGAAAATGGAAGTAGACCTGTTACAGCAATGACTTTATTCTTTGAACTCCAAGTTATTGGCAAATATCACATAATGATCTATCACCTTACATAATTTTTAATGATCTACCAACAGACAGTGCAATCAAGTCCTCCTTTAATTTGGTTGAAAGCAAAGAATTTAAACATAGCCATCATTAGAGTTACCTGTCATTACAGTCATTTACTGTCACAATTTCTTTTAAGTACAGCAGAAAAGCTTTACTGAGACTCACCAAAGGACTATTACTTATGCCTCATACTCATCCACTTAAAGGCACCTTGCTCAGTCTAAAATACTCACAAAGAGTTGGGAAAATGACCTTTCACAGTGTAATTTTTTTATAAAGTGATCTTTCTTCATCACCCAATCAAAATATATTTTTGTCAAAACTTTGAGCTTACAGATTTAGAATTTTGTTGGTGGAAAATGCCCATCGTAGAGCCTAACTGGCAAACCAGTCCTCATCATCAAACCAACTGGTCAGATCAGACTTCTTGTGTCCATTCAAATAAACATACTATTATGCATCCCCATGACAACTATGTCACTTCTGAATTTAGAACAGCAACACAGGCCACCATACCTTACTTCTAAGGCCATGTTATATTCTTCATAGAGATACGTGTTAGACAGGGAGAGATGTGAAGCCCTCCTTTGGGTTTGTGATGCCTTAATTGGAGAATGCCTTGCTGACACTGATATATCAGACTATTCCTTTGTAAGGTACCTCAGAGGCTTGTACACCTGGGGCATAGTAAGATGCTGGTGTACACAAGGTATTCCTTAACTTTGTTAAAATGAGCAGAGGGCAACTGAGAAATGGAGGAGGGAGAAGGAAACCACCATGACATCTTTACTGCAGGTGTGTACTCAGGCAGATCAGCTTCAGGGAAGCGTCCAAAGAGATGCAAGCTGAAACTCTGGAAAAGAGTCTTGTAAAACTGTGGTGCCCATGGACCTCTCATCAAGTTTTCATCTACCCCTAGCCATGCACATCAAACAAACCAGTTGTATTTACTGAGCTGGGAAACAAAGCAGCTTAAAAATGCCATCTGATTCATGGAATGATTAAATAAATATTTTAAAAAGGGCCATAGCTATCAATACTTTTTTTTTTTTTGAGATAGAGTCTCACTCTGTTGCCCAGGCTGGAGTACAATGGTGCAATCTTGGCTCACTGCAACCTCCACCTCCTGGGTTCAAGTGATTCTCCTGCCTCAGCCTCCCAAGTAGCTGGAATTACAGGCACCCGCCACTGCACCTGGCTAAGTTTTTTTGTAATTTTAGTAGACATGGGGATTCACCACATTGGCCAGGCTGGTCTTGAACTTCTGACTTCAAGTGATCTGCCTGTCTCAGCCTCCCAAAGTGCTGGGATTACAGGCGTGAGCCACCACACCCAGCCAATACTTTTTAAATAAATTTTTCATCACCCACACAATAACTACCCTTCCTATTAAGTAACTTGGGAAACAGTATGTAAGGCTCCTAAGTCTGTCTTTCTAACTTGAAGAATGTCAGTCTAATTTTTTATAGTTCTTCCCCAGCACTTACAGTTCTGCGTAATAAACATTATAAAATATAGCAGGGTGAGAAAAGATAAAATACAAATGTGGAGCAGGAACAATGACTCAGCATGGTAAGTGTCTCGAATGGCCCTTGCTGCTTAAAACACATTAGGACTTAAATTATCTGCAAATACAAAACTGAACAAACTGTGGCCATTCATTACTACCCGTAATAATAACAGCAGTTATTTAGAAAAGCAGTTAAATCCAGGAGGTGCAAGAAAACCAATTTGAACATTCAAAAGGAAAAGTTGTCAACCAAAATGCTTTATATATAAACATAAACACTTTAATAGAGTGAACTCATATGTTTTTGAAAAGGAAAAAAGATCAGCTTAGTTTACATGTATATATCTATATACACACACATATCTACATATACACACATATTTACATGTATATATATGTGTGTGTATACACGTATACACGTATACATACACACATTCATATTCGTTATTTCACTGAGATCCAATTACACTTACCGCCTCAGTATGAATAGGATGTACAGCAAAAAGCAATGCCGTTACAAAAGCAAGTCCACGATTCTTGAAGACAGTTTTATCACAGGTGTACATCAGCACAAGAGTCACTAAGCAGTGTAAAATTATATTTACTGCATGAAAGTAGAATGGGTTCATACCAGTCAAAAATATGTTTAGCCTGTAAAACAAAAGAAAAAAGAAAAAAACTGCATTAGCTACAAACTCAACATAAACACAAGGAACACAGACGGAATCCATCATTTAAAAAGATAAGCTATTAGATTAATGATTTTTAAATGATTCCCAACATTGGGTTATTTTTTAGCCTTGGGTATGTATCACATTTTTCCTATTTCAGAATTGTCCCATGTGCAGAAATCCATGCATATACAATACAATATTATTTCAGGGAACTTTGGTCTCACTGAGAAGGCAAGCAAACAGGTGCTGAGCCTGTTTTTCCATCACTCCATGGCTAATGCAAATATGCCCCCTTAATATTCTTATTTTCACTGCTGGCTCTTCCCAAGCAACTGAGTGTTGAAAGGGAAGTCCAAAGGGCCATGGGTCAGAGCCACATACACCGGAGATGAACAGAAACCATGAAACTACGATTATAGTCACAGTTGGGACAAATGAAGCATGAATGTGTTCTCTCACCCATGGTGCCACCAGGAACCAGGTTTCTAGATTATGCAGCTGGAAGCATCACCTAATTACCACCCCACAAAGGAAGCTTTAGGGAACCTACAGGCTATTACCAGCTGCAGCTGAAATGAAAAGATGAGCAAAAGCATCATGTTCCACAATGTGTATTAAATGTTTTTAACATAAATTCCCACAGATCTCAGTACCTGATTTCTAAGACTGTGACAAAGCAATTAAAAGAGAACCACAAAGGGAAAGAAAACCAATTGCTCAACATCTTAAAAAAATACTTTCATGAGACAGAAATGCAGAATAGACAGACTTCTGAAGGTTGCCTTAAATTTAATAACAGGACATAATACACCCAATTGATTCTGTGGGGTTACAGAAAAAATACACTTGCACAAGGTATGGTTCTTTCCAGGGAGCACTGATACCCTAAGTGGTGCTGCCTACAGTTGTCTGTATTCTAGTCAATTTTACCAAAACAGCAATCCCAGGTCTTCAATTCTCAGGCCTTTGATCTGCTTCTCTTATAGAAACAGCTCTTCTTTGCCAAAACAACTAAGAATGAAAAAGTCAGCTTTAGAGATGACATACGCGTATTCTAAATAATTGACGTAATTCATGCACAGCTTTAACCTACAGAATTTTAAACATCTCAAGATTTATTTGGACATATGAATGCAAATGTCATAGTTACTAATAAACTCCATTTTCACTCCCACTGAAGTAATCAGAGTCTTAACTAAGCCTAGAAAACTAAATTGTTGAATTGGATCCAACTCCAGGGCTCTGATGCAAGATTTGACTCAGCTGTATGTTGGCAGACTCATGAGTCTGCACACACCCCAGCATCCTCAATACAGGAGCCTGGTGGGAAATTGCCCATCCAGAGGGAAAAAGGAATAGGCAGTGAACTAGAGAACTCATAGGTCCAACAAAGCGGGGAGACCAGCATGCCATTCCTGTATAGAAACACACACGAGGCAGCAGAGCTGCTTGAAGTCAGAAAGCTTGGGATGGGATAATTGTTAAGGAAGGTCAAGACCAAGTCCAGGTCCTTGGAGAACTTGGATGCAGTTCCCTAAGAGTCCACCCCTCTGAGACTGATTTTACACTGCATTCCACTTCAGCAGGCTGAGCTTTCCACACTAAACCATTCATTTAAAATTCATTCACACCACTGACAAGGATGAGAGAAAACAGGCAATCTCACATCTGATCGGTAGGTGTCCAAGTTGGAAGGTCTCTTGGTTGGCAACATGCATTGGAGGCTTTAAAAGGTATGCACTTTTGACTGAAAATTCCACTTCCAGGAATTTTCCATAAAGAAGTAACAAGAAAAGTTTGTATAAAATATATATAAACTATATATACATAAGTATATATACAAATACATACATATGTACATATACATATAAAAGATGTTAGAGTGAATGTACAAGAATGCATCTCACAGTGTAAATGGTAAAAATGGCAATAGTGAGAAAGGCAAGACATCTAACAAGCCAAATCCTTGATAAATTTGACTACTCCCATGGATCCTAAAATTTAGATAATAAATTTGGATCACAAATAATAGCACCATTTCTTTAAAAAGAAAAAAAAAGGCTTATTTTTGCAAAGTATTTATTATTCAACCATTCAAAAACTGAAAAGCATCATTAAAGATGGCATTATTACTATGTTACCTATACTCTTATCAGGTATTTAACATATATTCCTTTCTCCTTCCAAAAACAGTATAAAATGGTAGGCATGAATCACCTTTGTGGTTCATATGTGTCATATCTGAAAATGTCCAAGCGTTATCCATGTTATTTCTTGAACTTAGTCAAAATCTGAAAAAATACTTCTGTAAGACAGACATGCAGAATAGAGAGACTTCTGACGGTTGGCTTAAATTTAATAACAGGCCCTAATGCACCTAATTCCATCTGTGGGGTTATAGAAAAAACACGCTTGCACAAGATATCGTTCATGCATCAGAAGCTTAAAAACGTACACACAAGAATGCCTGGTGTATGAAGTGAATTCAATTAGATCCCAAAATATAAAATAAATTGCTGAATGAGGAGTCCCCGCAGTAATGACATAATGCTGTGAAAGTCCCTTACCTGGAACCTAACATTGGTGAATCTAAGCTTTAAGAAATCACCCTGAATCTGGAGTTAGGAATATTTTTAAAATATCTAAAAAGATGGAGAGTGAATTCTCCAAATTACAGACAAGTAAGCTTGAGACAAAATGCTAACGAAAGCTTCTAGCGTATTCTACGTGTGATCACAGAGAAAAGAAGTTCTGATTCTGGGAGATAATATGGGTTCACAAAAAGGGGGTTCACTGATTAACCTCATAATTTAATAGAAAAGGGGATGTGATGCATGCATCACATCTTTATTTTAACAAAGGCGTTTATCAAAATCTCTCAAAATCTCCCTGCAAACAAGACAGCCTAAGATAGATTTGTAGCAAACACCAAGAGTAGTGAATAATAAATCAATGTCTCCTTGGACTGAGATCTCCAGTGTATGTCACAGGGTTCTGATATTACCTCTGTTCTGTCCAATATTTTTATCAAAGGTTTAATGAAACTATACAGTGTATACTTATCAAGATACAAAATGCCTTTATCTGGAAAGGAGAATTAATGTACCAGAAGAACTAACTGACATTCACAAAGAGTTTAAATGGCTGAAATTGTTAGCTAATTCTAACAGGATTAGACGGAATAGTGGTAAGAATAAAGGCTCACATGGGGATATAAAAGACAACAAAATACTTGCAATCTAGATTAAAACTGTACATAGGTCATTGCCCTATGTACACAGAGTTAACGTGTGTCAGTTATCAAAACAGACCAAACCAGACAGACAGGGAACTGCACAAATCAAACAATTTTTCATTTCAATTTACACAATCAGGTATTTATTAAGCACATACTACATGTCAGATATGATTCAGGGCCCAGAGATACAAAGAGAAGTAAGACGTGGCATCTGTTCCCAAAGAGTTAACAGCATAGTAGGAGCAGGCAAGGTAATTAAACAGCGAATTAAATGTTAAGGAATTCTGGCAGTGGGAGAACTTACCAGGTGCAGACATGGGGAAGAGGGAGGTATTCTACCTGAGGATGGGAGAGGCAAGATAGGTGGTATCCAAAGTGGGGCAGCAGACAGTCAGAGGACTTTTTAAACACAGAGCACCTTCACAGGAGAACTTCAGGATGCTAAGGGGGGAGGGAAGACCCTCAGAAATGATGCCTCTTGAATGTAGCTTTGAGGAAATGGAAGATGCTCAGCCTAGAGAAAGATGACAGAAATAATGCCAAGTTCTCCAGGGGAAAAGATCTTTGCCATATTTATGGCTACATCCACAGTGTCTAGCACAATGCCTCATTCATGATTATCATACAATAGGCATTCAGATGAATGAATAAACATGAATGGATGAATGAAAAGCAATACTAAAGGAATGCATTTATTCTAAGTAGCTCCCTAAGGGGAAACTACAATCCAATAAAGATGTTGCAAACTGTCTTCCCAAAGGCTAGGTTTAGCCTGCAGGTTGTTCTGTTTTACTTTCATACTTCTTTTTTATTTATCAGGGTTTTAAAAACTGGTGGCTTCATATAAAAATTTCCAGCTTCTCTTGAAATATTAGAAGACCTGACAACTCTGGGCCTACACGGCTGCATGGAAATATCTGTGTGCCCATCTCGAGAGGACAAGGGCTCACAATTTGCCATAGTCTCTACCAATTCCTATCATATTCCTAACCTGAAGGCATTCATTTATCATTATGCACACAATTTTTTTTTGTGTACGGTAAAGAGGAAAGTGAAATATTTCTTGAGCCTGCATGACTATCACACATGGGCAATAAGACAGTCAAAATGACTGCTTGAAGAAAAATGGGAGAAAGCATATTTCTGGAAGAGGAGAATATTCCCATGTACCTGAAATGCAAAGTATTACAACATAACCTCACATCCAGCTCACTTCACTCACTCTAAGATCAGCCTGACCCTTTTAGCAATTTTCAACTTTTAATATGCAAAGTACTGAGAGGCAGGCTTCAGCTCAAAGTAGGAGGTAACACTGAAGCTAGTACACATTTAAAGATTTAAAATTATATCAGTTGCTTGGATAACCAGAAATGTCCACAAAGAAGTATAATGACAACCCACATGAAATACCATCTAAAAAGAACATCTCAGGTTCTATATCACCCTGAATGTACCCCTTTGAAAGTATTTAACCAATTTTTTAAAAAACTCATTAACTATATTCCTCAAACGTTTTTCATACACTATAGGAAACTAATTTCTTTTTGTCATTGTATCCATCTCACTCAGCATACAATAGATTCTAAATGAAAATTTACTGAACTTACATTAAGTTGCAATTGGAAAAGATCATCTTTCCCTTTGACTTCAAGAATCTCTCATTTTATTTGGTGTAGCCTTCATTCTTCATTTAAAACTAGGCCAAGCAGTAGGAAATAAAATAATATTTTTGGAAATAATCTTAATAGCCATCTCTCACTATCTGAAAACCTTCCAGAGTTCCACAAATATGAACCCAAATCGCCCCTTCTCCATCTGAACTCACTCTGCCTTCCTGTAAAACTTCCCAGAAATGTAAGGCCGTGAGTTCTCAGATAAGCTGGTTTGCAGCATGCCATATCCCTTCCCAGGAAAGGGTATGGGGTCACAAAATCTGGCACCAAAGGGGGTTGTGGGGTGGAGAGAAAGGGAGAAGAAAGAGTTGTTGGCTGCCCTCTGCTTCCTCACTCCCACAGCCTGGAGCTTAAGATAAACCCCATCACTGTCTTTTAAGTTTCTTCTTTGACAATAGCTCTGATTTAGGAAAAACAAAACAAAACAAAACAGTAACAGTCTGTATTTGTGAAACAGAGACACACAGCAGAGAAGGACTAGAGTCCTTCCTCAAAAGGACCCCAACTCCATGTCAATCAAATGGCTCTACCTCAAGGAACTGGCATAGGTCTGCAAACTGGGTAAGACATCATGACTCTACATGTGGTGACCCAAGCCTGATTCCTGGCCCTGAAGCTGGAGTTTTCCTGGAATAAATTTTAGCAAAATTTTAGAGGGCTGCCCATCTACTTCATTCCTAGGGACAATATGATTAATAAGCCACCACCAATGATCGCTGCAGGTCAAAACATTCTGATTATCACTGTGTCCCAGAGGCCCATCATGATCAAGGCATTCACCTTGTCTTTGGCAGCTAAGCTCTGCCACTTGGTCTTTGGTACTCCAGGAACCTATCACCCCATGAAGTCAGAAAGTCCACCTCAATGGCAGCATCTCCTACATCACACCTGGCCTACAGAAGAGATCCACCAAAGAGCTTCTCGAAGTTGCAGGTGCTCCTTCACCAATGTAATTCTCAATGCCTCAAAAAAGGGAAAGTCATCTGGCCCTCTCTGGGAATACAGTGGAGACATGAGTGTGTGTGTGTGTGTGTGCAGGTGGCATGTGATAAACGCATGCCAGCATTCCTATCTCAATAAGCCTTTGCGTTCCTTTCTCTACATTATGCCAGGGAGATTTTAGCATCTCAACCTCATTAAACATGGGCCCCCATGAGTCCCAGTGGTTCTCAACTGTCTTAATCATCTGGTGTGGTAGCTACAATTGTTGATTCTCCGATCCCATCCCAAGATATTCCAAGGCAGCAGATCTAAACTAGGGCCCAGAGATCGGCCCCCAAGCAACCCAGGTGATTCAAAGTCAGGTGATACTCAGAACAATGAGAGACAGGTTTCAAAGCTTAAGGGAAGGCTGCTAGTATTGCCCAGCTTTCCAGAAAAGCCCAGATTTCTCAGCAGTAACACAAAGAATAGAGTACATTCTTTTCCAAAGAAATACAAACCAGGGAAAACCAAAAATTAAAAGTAACCCTTTATTATCTGTTTCTGGTGTCTCCAGTGTTGGGTTCTCCAACACTTTCAGCATGGGTTTCCACAGCCCAATGCTAAGCACACAGCACATTCTCCTGTATTCCTCTATTACTGTTCATCTTTCTTTTTCCCAACCTCTTGCCATCATTACAGATCTCAAATGCTTATAAGAGGTTTCCATAGTCTTCTTAGATCATTCAACCAATAAATAACAACATCTGGTTCTTCTCATTTCTCCTCTAAGGCAAAAATCCCTTTGGCCCTCAATCATTTTGGTTGCTCTTCTTCTGCATTCCCTTCAGTACCAGGAATAAATCAGCAAATCATTATTGCTTAATGTATCTGAAGTACAAAATGATGTAGCTCCCAGGCACCAATGCAAACAACAGTCCAGAGGGGAGATTGATACTCTGCAGCTGAAGCAAAATTCATGGCTTTGATTTGAGTTCAAGGCATCACATCCTTATCTGGCTATGAGGAAGCTGCCCCACAGGAAAGCTGCCCCATGGGAAGGGAGGTTATTGTCACTGTTACATTAGTACTAGAGTAATAGTACAGTTATTAGAGTAATAACTGTACTAAAGAAAGGGTAAGAAAACTGAAGGCAGGAAGATCAGTAAATATATCTGGAAGGTAGCAAGTCCCGGAAGAAAATCCTCAAAAAGAGAGCCAGCAAATAATAAAAATTATGACAGACCAAGGCCAAATATTTTAGTTTTAACTGAGCTGTCAATTTTTAGCATTTTTTTTTAAATGTGTGTTTGGTGTTTGGTGGAGTGCCTGATTGTAATGCAGTTCTGACATCAACTTCCCAGAATTAACAAAAACTCCCAGTTGAGGGCAAAGTCGTCCACAAAACTCCTCACACTTCAGACATCAGCCACAAGTTCCTCAGGCCACCAGTACTTCTGACCAACTGGCTACATAATCAGGGCCTCCCACAACTCCCTCAGGTTCGATCATTCATTAGAACAACTCAGAGAAATCGAGTAACCCCTATACTTATGGCTATAGTTTTCTTATAAAGGATACAAGTCAGGACCAATCAAAGGAAGAAACCTACGGGACAAGGTCCAGGAGGGCCCTGAGCATAAATGTTCTATTTCTTCAGGATGCTTCACCCTCCTAGCACATCAAGGTATGATTACCTACCAGGGAAGTTCAAGCAAACTTCAGTGTCCAGAGTTTTTATTGGGGGTCCCAGTATGTAGGCACAATTGATTGAAATCACTGACCACACAACAATTCAATTTTCAGCCCCTCTTCCCTCCTAGGAGGTTGAGATATAGGAGTGATATCACATGCCTCACAGCCCCAACCCTCTAATCATATAATTGGTCTTTACACCACAGCCAGCCCTCACCCTATAACCATCTAGGAGCCCACCATGAGTCAACTCCTCCTTAGCATAAACTTAGGTGTGATCCCAGGAGTCCATCATGAATAATAAAGAAACTCCTCTCACTTGGGAAATTCCAAGGGATCAGAAGTTTCCTCCCAAGAATCCAGCACGAAGACCAGAAAAAAATCACTGTCATGTTAGTTTCTCTGATAACATATTTTCAGGTACTTGTACTCCATTTGATCCAACAAGGCCATTCCTTATAGAAAGCATAGGCATGGATGAATCTTAGGAACCTGAGATTGGAGTGTAGTGAGAACCCCCTATAATTCTGGGTTTTGAAGGTACAGCTGCTGTTTCTCACCTTGAACTTTGCAGCAAGCATCCACCAACCATTTGTGCTGCAACCTGCCACCTAAGAAGAGTAAGATCCAAAAGCGCTACAGATCTTCATTCTCTACACAGAGTTACAGTTCCAGCAAGTTCCAATAGAAATTCAAAGTCATCCCTTTCAGAATCTCTCAGTAAACAGAACCCATTGGTATCCTCTGTATACATCTGAGGAAATTCCTAGTCTGCCTCCACTTTTCTCTTTGAGAAAGAAAGAACAAAGGTAAATTAGTGAAAAAGTAAACCAAGCAGACTTTTTCTCTACATTATAATCATGTAGCCTTACCTTAGTATTTACCTGAAAAATCTGAGCAGTCACAAAAAGGATTTATTCATTCTTTAAAAAATTAATTCATTTTTAATTGACAAATAATATTCCTTCTTTCAATGATAAATCTTGAGTCCCTACTTTGCAAGCCAGGCTTAGTTGTAGGTGCTAGAGATAAACCTCATGGAGTTTACACTGTAGTGAGGGGAGGTAAAACTCAACAAAGCAGGGTAAGGAAATAAGGGTAAAAAAACACAGAGGAGTGTTTGCTACTTTGATCACCTGGCCACCAGGGAAGGCCTCCGGGATGAAGTGACATTTAGGCAGAAACCAAAGGTGGTGAGCACATAAGCCCTGCACAGATCTGGGGAAAAGCATTCAGGAGGAACCACCAATACATGCAAGGCCTTTGGTAGCAGTGGGTTTGGCCTGTGCAAAGAACAAGGGCTCTGGAATGCTGGTGCAGAGAATGAGGTGGAGATTGGTAGACTAGGGATCAGAGAGGTAGCCAGGGGTCAGATCAAACAGGACTTCATAGAAAAGAAACAGTATCTTATTATTTGGGAAAGAAACACTGCCATTGTGTGGGCATGATCAGGCATTCCTTACCCCCCTCTCTCTCTTTTTATTTTTTTTAACAGAGTCTCGCTCTGTTGCCAGGCTGGAGTGCGGTGGTGCAATCTCGGCTCACTGAAACCTCTGCCTCCCAGGTTCGAGCAATTCTCCTGCCTCAGCCTCCCGAGCAGCTGGGACTACAGGTGCACACCACCATGCCCAGCTAATTTTTGTATTTTTAGTAGAGATGGGGTTTCACCATGTTGGCCAGGATGGGTTTGATCTCTTGACTTAGTGATCCGCCCGCCTCAGTCTCCCAAAGTGCTGGAATTACAGGGCATGAGCCACCGTGCCCGACCTCCTTACCCCTCTCTTTAAGTGAGATGATGACATACTCAAAGTTAGGAAAAATATGAATGTAGCTCCAAAGAAAGACAGAAAAGACATTGGTTGGTAATAATAGACTGCTTCGGAAGGTGATTTCCAAGCCTTGATTCAGGGACTCACCTATAAAAACCCTCATGAGTCCAAAAATATATTCCTCTCACTTTCTGTCCCTCCTACACTACCAGACTGTAGTCTATAAAGTATATCCTACTAGATTATAATCACAACCTCCACCTCTTGGAGCTTCCAAGATAACCTTAGGGTGGCATAAAATTTTCAAAGGCAGTTTTTCATTTTTCTTTATAAAATTTTTCTTGCCTCCAATCACATTTTCCCTTGGTTATTTCTGTCACTGAACATCCTAGACAATCTAGTCAAACATCCTAGAGAATCTTCACTTGTGTCCTATGATAGACTTAGAAAACAAACTTATCAGCCTTGTGGCAACAGGCTGTGTCAAAATGAAATCCCACAGAAGTTGAATGAAAAGGAATAGAAACAAAAGAAACATATCACCGTTTCTTTAAGGTTGTGGGCATGGAGGTTAGCTAGTGCTTATTTTCATGGTTGGCATACTATTTGTAACTAAAAGATGCAAACTACTGCAAAAAACCTTCAAGATCAAACATTAAAATGCTGTAAATTCCTACAGCTGCACATATTAAGATAGTCTATTTTTTGGCTCTGACATTTTAAACCACCCACTTTCACTCTTATGGTTTATATTACCATCAGAAGCTCTTAATAAAATAAAGCATTATAGCAAATATAATCTAATAGGCTAAACACACAGAGAAAGAATCAGGATTTTAAAGTCCTTTCATTTGCTTAGTTTCCCCATCTTTAACATTAAAAAATCATTGGTTCTTGCTTGTTGAAGCAGACTTCCACCTGCTTACTGAATGGAATGGCACTGCGAACAATTCAGCAGTATCTTCTTCCCAAGAGAAGGGTTGGGATAAAATTAAAAAGCTAAGTTTATTTTAAACCATTCTGGACCATTTTTCAAGGGAGGGGTTATGGACATCATAGAGTTTGGTTCTGTGTCAATTCACCCTCTACAGAGTAGCTTAATGCATTTCTCTTGATTTCAGGCTTACAAACAGGTCATGGCCAGGGAAGGAAAAAGAAGCAAAAAAAAAATGTTATTGCTGCAGAGTCACAGATGTTTTGATTCTGTACCACTATGGTCCAAAAATATTCTTGCATGCCCTTGGGCATGATCTTATGAAAAGACTGAATCTGAGATTTGACTGGAAACAGAAATTCATTGTAATTCTAAATTCACTTCAAGGAACACAAAGAGATGGTCATTTGTATCAGTTAGGGTTAGACTAGAAAACCAGAGCCACCATGAGTGATTCAGAAGAAGGGATGTACTATGGGGATCTGACCTTTTACTATTGCTGGGGCTGGTTAAATAGCCTATGTAAGTGTGATGCTTCTGTGTCTATTATCCAAGTTGAAAGCCAGCAGGGCAGCAGGGCCATTCTGGAAGAGAGGGTGAATGGACTTGAAGTAGGGGGAAGCAAAGGCAAAATGGAACCCACAAGGATGAGCTAAAATACATGTCTGTTTTCCACTGCCTTTAAGGCTCCAACTTTAACAATGCAAGAGGCTTGCAAAAAGACTGGCACTCTTCCCTGCAGAGCTGCATACACACCTGCACCATGATTCCAAGTAGCTGAAAGACGAGATCTGGAGAGCACTGGAGGAGCTGAGGGCCTGGGTGCTGCTGCAAACCAACAGCATGTTCACCAACATTTCTGTGACAAACTGCAAGAGGCCTGGCAGCAACAAAACCTATGCCAACATTCTGAATGTGATCTTAGCCACTTCACTTTCACCTTCCAAATCTTGCAGAAATTTTTCTTATGGTCAGCCCTAACCCAGATCATCTTGCAAAGGCAATTCCAAGAAACATAGTCCCAACTTAGCTAAAGTGACATAGTGCAAAGCCACCACATCTTGGTAAGCTGCTTTCATATTCCACTGTCCCATCCCCTCAAAACTGGTAGAAGTAGATGGTCTGCAACCCATTTCCTCATTTCAAATTTTAGTTCATTTCTTACTTGAAAAAATACATAATTAGTATCTTTACTACCTAAGCAAGCACTTTTATTATTTATTAGTATACAAGCAACCACCTTTATAGCAAAAAGTATTATGCATCTATAAATTACATTTATTCTTAAGGAAATTTCTAGCTCTCAGTATGCGTAAGATACATTCAATGAATCAAAAATCAACTTACATTTTAATAAAAAATATGTTTGGAGTATTGCACTGAGAAAGGTCCTGTGAGGAGGACAAAAAGACAAGCTACAGAGTGGGAGAAAATATTTACCAATCACATACTTGACAAAGTACATGTATCTAGAATATATAAAGAACTTCAATACTCAACATTTAAAAAAAACACTTAAAAATGGACAAAAGACACAAAGGCACATTTACCAAACTCTTTGGTTTAATATCAGATGTTCAATAGCTTCACCCATTAGGGAATGGTAAATTAATGAGGTACATATATAGGTGTGATATCACTACATACCTATCAAAATGGCTACAGTAAAAAACAGCAACAATACAAAGTGCTGGCAGAAATGCACAGAAACTGGATTACTCAGACACTGCGGCTAGGAACATCTGGAAAACAGTATGGCAGCTTCATATAAAGCATATGAACATGCAGCCACCATATGGCCCAGCAATTGGACTCCTGGGCATTTAGAACAGAGAAATAAAAATCTATGTTTACATAAAAACCTGTAAGTGAATTTTTATAGCAGCTTTATCCCAGCCAAAAGTTGGAAACAACCTAGATGTCCCCAACAGGTGAATGGTTATACAAACTGTGGTATATCCATACAATGGAATACAACTCAGCAATAAAAAGGAACAAACTATGGATACATGCAACAGCCTGAATGAAGATCCAGAGACATGCTGAGTGCAAGAAGCCAATCTCAACAGGTTACATACTATGTGATTCCATTTATACAACAGTATTAAAATGGCAAAATGATAATGGAGAACAGATTCATGGTTGTTATGGATTTGGGTGAGGGGATTATGGATTAGGCAGTTGTTATAGATTAGGTGTCCATGATTGCAATAAAGAAGTACTGAGGATCCTTGGGATGGAATTGTTCCGTATCTTGACTGTGGAGGTACTCTCTGAAATCTACACATATGATAAAGCTGCATAAAACTAAATACACACTTAGTAAAATAAAAAAAATAGAAGTACATATAAAATGGGTGAAATCTGACTAAATGCTGTAGATTGCATCAATATCAATTTCCTGGTTGTAATATTATACCATAATAATACAGGATGTTACCATTGGGGGAAATGGATAGAGTAGAAGGAATCTCTCTATTATTACTTAAAACTGCATGGGAATGCACAATTACATTAAAAAAGTTTTTAAAACGGGTTTGAAATCTCAAAGTTTTTGCTCAAACAAGCATAATTTAAGATACAGTTAAAATGGTTTGCACATATTTAAAGGGCCCCTTCAATTGTGTTTTCACTATCTAAAATAAAAATCATAAAGACGTAATCTATGTGAAGTATCTAGGCCAATGCTTGGTTCATAGCGAATAGTTAATAAATACGGCTTTCTGTCCTTCCTTGTACCATCCTGTAGAGTTGTATGGTTCTAAAATCACTGATATCCTCCAGCTTCATGCTATACCTCAGGTGAATATAAAGAAAACTGTCCAGTCTTATTTAAATCAATGCATGTGAGGACAGAAAGACTACTTAACATTCTCTTTCTGAAGAGGCAGTTATCTCTTTCCAATTAGTGCTGTGTTTCTCTTCTAGATTTGCAACTCAATCTTCTCAAAAAAAGAGTGTATCTTTCATAGGCAGTAGCATATAATATACAGCAAGCCATGCCTCTTAGACACCAAGCTGCTTGTTACAATCAATGATTACCACAAGAGTCCCTCAGCTCTCTTCCTCCTGAATCCCCCAACTCTCCTTTGCCCTTGTTCTGTCAACTCCTAGCCAATTTTCCTCTTAATCAATGGTCTTACTTCTTTGTCTACTCCCTCCACCCCTCCCTTATGTGCCTGCTGTCTCCATTATGAAGAAAAATAAAACATTTTAGGTGAGGTACAGTAGCTCATGCCCACAAGTCCAGCACACTGGGAGGCTGAGGCTTAAAGATCGCTTAGCCCAGGAGTTCAACACCAGCCTAGACAACATAGGAAGACCCCATATCTACAAAAAAAATTTTAAAATATATCTGGATGCACGGCATGTGCCAGTAGTAGTTCCAGCTACTTGGGAGGCTGAGGCAGGAGAATTGCTTATGCCCAGAAGTTTCAGGCTACAGTGAGCAATAATCATGCCACTGCACTCCAGGCTGGAGGACAGAGTGAGATCCCATCCCAAAAAAGAAAAAAAGAGAAAAGACAGAGAAAAAAGAAGAAAACCTTCTAGAAAGTCAAGAAGTGAAAACACCCTTCCCTACTCTCCAGCAAGTAGGCACAGGCATTTGACTCTGCCCTTTTTAATTGAAAAATACTCAGACCTGTGACCAGGATGGTCTCCATGGCTGTTACAAAGATAGCAAGCACATCTCATGCTGTGAACTTGCACATCCTAAATTAACCAACAACCCTGACTGTAATAATGAAAAAGCAGGTCAATCTAGAAGTGAAACATTTATATTTGTCCCAAGGAGATTTTAAGAAACATCTGGGAAACTGAATAGCGAGGTTAGCCAAGGTTATCTTTCAGTAGAAAACGAGAACAACTTTCTAAGAGAACAAATGTCTATAACACATTCTCTTCAAAGTCAAATATGTAATTTTCTCACTCTCCTTAAAAACATTAAACTTTCAGTGGAAGACGTAAGTCAAAAGCCCATGAATTGTTGCCGATTGCTATGGTTTCCTTTTCTGAGTCATCAGAGACACCTGTCAAGAGGCCTCAGCCTCTCATCCAGAGCAGGCTTTTCAAGCTGCCAACCCAGTCTCAAATAATCATTACCATAAACACGGGTTCCTATTACACCCGTTGCAAAAAGGCTTAAAACGCCGATAATAGCGCACCAATATTATTTCAACAGTTTTGACCGGCGCGTTAAAATGAACTTCAATGCTGAGCCACATTATAAAGGGTTGAGTCAAGCTCCTGATTGTGTAAGATAGCATTTCCCTTAAATGAGCACTTCTCTTCTTTCCTCAGAAGCTAGGCTTCTTTTCAAATTAAAGAAAATACTCCACCCCTCAAAAACCTGGCATATTCTCGGTTCCCTTTACGCTTATTCACACCAGAAACGCTGAATCATGACTCCGAGGTTGTAAAAGAAAAACTATTTCGGCTGGGGCCCCAGGGTCCCTGGAGAAGCCTAGGCTCTGCGTTACCTCTCTCTGCACCTTCTAAAGTCTAGATCCAGAGAAGTCTGGCAGATTGGAGAGCCTCTGGGAGCAGCCAAGGGTGCAAGGCGGGGGCTGGGGGGCTCGGGAGAGTTTTCTGCTCCCTCTCCTGAACCCACGCAGCCCTGTCAGCTCAAGGCTCCCGCCTCGTCTCATCTGAACGAAACCCTTAAGGGGCTGATACACTTCTCATCTGCAAAGCTGCCCAACAGCCTCCGAGAAATTCTCTACTTGGAAGCATCGCCACCACCGCCACCCCTCCGGAACCCTCTGGGTCCGCGCTAGTCCCACTTGGTCACGATCCGGCAGGCGAAGGGGTGCGGAGGCGGTTTCACCAGCCCGCTCCCAGCCCTGCCTCGAGAGAGAAGCCCGCTGAGAGGGCAGACAGTTGAGAAACTCGATCCCAACTCCCCAGCCGGCGCCTCCCGAACCGCCCCGAGAGCCCAGATTAGCCGGGCAGTGGATCCCGGAGCAAAGTGCCATGCACATCCTGGAGAGGAGGGAGGCGTGGAGGGAAAGGGCGGCAAAAATGAAATGCCCCCAAGTCAGTCCCGCAACTTCTCCCGGTCCGAGGGACGGGCGGAGGGTAGAGGAGGCAGCGGCGGCTAGCGCGAGGTGAGGGACTCACTTGAAGGTGAGGACGCAGAGCGGCCGGTAGGACTTGTGGCTGGTGTTCTCGGCCATGCCCTTGCCCCAGAAGTCGTTGGTGAAGATGCCCCAGCGGAGCGGGGCGCCGGGCCGCACGTCGGGGTTGTTCACGATCGCCCACACGTCGTCGTGCACGAACTCGCCCTGCAGGGAGCGGCCGTAGCACAGGCAGCTTGCCCCGGCCAGCAGCGCCGCGGCCCCGGCCGGCGCTAGCCCGCAGCCCCGCCGCCGGGAGGGTGTGCGGTCCCCGCCGCCGCCTCGGGCAGAGGTGGTCACCACCATCGCGCCGCCGCCGCCGCTGCTGCCCTGGCCTCTCCCGGGCGTCTGGCATCCTCCCCTACCGGGGCCCCGGCGGCGCGCGGCGTCTGCCCGGAGGGGGGCTCGGGCATGGTGCTGCGGCAGCTGGACCCGCCGCGAGCTCCCCGCGCTCCGCCGCCGCCTGCGCCGCGGAGTTGGCCCAGCTGCAAATAAACAGCAGTCCCCCCGCCTCCCCCGGCCATCGCCACCTCCTCCGCCCCACTGCGCATGCCCGCTCGCTCTCTCTTCCACCGCCCCCCAATCCCGGGACGCGGGCCGGTTCCCCCGCACAGCCCGGCGCCCTCTGCCCCCGGCCCGCCTTGCTTGCAGGTGGACCGGGGTTCGCGGCGCGCGGCTGCCCGGGAGCTGCGGGGAAGGACACCCCAGGTTCCCACTTGCGGTGTCCGGCTGTGCTCACCCCCACGCCCCCGCCCCCATCCTTCTCCCCCGAATGGGGCTGGGAAGGGGCACATCTGGCGGACCCCTCCCGGGGGACCCAGGAGGGTTTAGCAGGTGCGCAGTCTGGAACCCCCACACCCACCTTCCAGGGAGAAAAGTGCCGCTGCTTCCCGGGAAGTTCCCGGCTTTTCAGCACCCGGGACAACAGCAGCGGCGCCCGGAGAGACGCTCTCCACCCGCCCCGCGCTCGCGTCCAGTCGCCGGCTCTGTGCTCTCCTGCCCGGGCTTTCTCTCACCCGCCCGGCGCGGCGTCCCGCTTGGCGGAGGAACCCGCGGGGATAGGGAGCACCTTCCTCAAAGCCAGGAGAAGGGGTCTCCCTGGACAAGGACATCCTGCTCGCCCTGCCCGGGTGTGTTCAGAGGCGCCACCGGCTCTTTAACTTTACAGCCCCTTTCTTGGCCCGCACTTACAAAAAGTACCAGGTTCGAGTTTTGGTTTGGGCCTGGGAGCCGAATTGTCTTCTGAAACATTTCTTATTTTATTGTTTGCTCAAGATAATTTGGGAGATGCCAAGCAAACTACTTTTTCTATCTAGCTGGATCACTTGGGTCTCATTATTTCCTGGGCTGTGGGCGTGTTTGAACAGGGCGGGGAAGAAGGTGGGGATGGGGGGATGGGGAGGTGGGGGCGATTTGTATTAGGGCCTCTGGCTTTGGCTCCTAAACTTCCTGTCTTTCTGAAAGATTGTTTTCTTTTTTAAAATACTAATTTTAATAATATGTCCCAGAGTGATGATTACTAGAATTTCTCCAGGTCTGAAAATTCTATTTGTTCTTTCAGGCACCTTCTAAATTTCCATTGCTGAGTGTTAGAAGTTATCAGGAATTTGACACATCCAGATAGAAAAACTGAAAATAAAAAGTCACCCTTTTATTCTCATCCTCCCCAAACCCTTAAAAAGCTCACCGACATAATCCAGAAATTGTTCCTCTGCTATGAGTATTTGTGTGGCTCTTTACTATAACAACTTACTTTTTAAAAAATTTTAAGACATCTGAGCAGTTGAAAAGTCAATGAATTAAGATAAACTTATTGTAACTCAAAGTACGTTTCACCCATTTTCACTTTGTTTATTTGGTGACTTGAAATTAGTGACTGAGAAATGAAACTGGAAGTCCTGGACATGGATGTTTTCATTCTTCCATCAAAATCTTTCACGCTTGGTAACCTTAATATACCGACTTTAATATCTAGACACACCTGAGTCTATTTCCCCGTATAACACACTACAGCCTTTCCTATTCACCTATTAACTTAATAAAAATATATTAAGGAGATTCTTTGTGCTACAATGTGCTAAGTATAGGATTGGAAGACCCAAAGCTGCTCGTGTGTGTGCGTCTGTATGTGTGTGTGGTTAACACCATAAAAGTCTAGCTTTCTAAGTTAACAGCTGATTGGGATAGTGAAATTATCTTTGCTGAAATCATAGTTGAGGTAATAGGTCAATGTATCAATCCTTACCTATAATTAACGGAGGCTTTCTAGAGAGAACGTCTTAACCCAAAAGAGTGACTCTAGGCCAGGTGCAATGGCTCACACCCGCAATCCCAGCACTTTGGGAGGCCAAGGCAGGAGCGTTGCTTGAGGCCAGGAGTTCAAGACTGGCCTGGGCTACAGAGTGAGACCCTGCCTCAAAAAAGAAAAGAAAAGAGTGGCCTCTAATAGTAGATTTTTATAGAAAGAAAGTCTTTTTTCCTTCCTCAAATTATCCTTAAGTCATCCTTTTCCAAGGAAGAGCTCTGGCTACCCCCTTCTTCTCGGAGTTGTTTTCTTTTTTAGATGGAAACAGTATCAGAGTGCTCCATGACCATGGAGAGTAGTGCAGGACTTGGGACTGAGACTCCAAAGAGATCATAAAAAGAAGAGATAAAGGAAACCTGAAAGTAGGATTCCTGGTTACCTAATCTTTCCTCTAGGTTCAGTGGCATCTTTATTCTATTTTGCTCAGATGACAAATTTGAGATTGACTTAAAATAGTGAAATGCTTCAAGTCTTCTCAAGGACAACTGATCAGTGAATATTTTTAAAAATTAGTTCCTTCGGGCCTGGCATGGTGGCCCACCCCTGTAATCCCAGCACTTTGGGAGGCCTAGGTGGGCAGATCAGGTCAGGAGATCGAGACCATCCTGGTCAACATGGTGAAACCCTGTCTCTACTAAAAATACAAAAATAACCTAGGCGTGGTGGCACGCGCCTGTAGTCCCAGCTACTTGGGAGGCCAAGGCAGGAGAATGGCTTGAACCTGGGAGGTGGAGGTTGCAGTGAGCCAAGATCACGCCACTGCACTCCAGCCTGGGGACCGTGTGAGACTCTATCTCTAAAAATAATAATAATAATAATAATAATAATAATAATAATTAGTTTCTTTGCAGCCTCATCACCTCCTGATTCAATACTGCTCTGTGTGGTAGGAAAAGTATAGAAGTACTGATGTCAGAGAGAGGTTTACATTGATATGCCAGCCCATCAAGCCATTTGCTTCTCTCTTAAAGTGGAAAACATCCATCTTGACTAATAAAGGGGCCCAAAAGGAAGTTAGATTTAATTCTTGTTACTTAGCCTCTAATTATTTTTAAAGGATTGATAATTAGCGCAATACTACCTCCTGAAACGCCTTGTGTCCACTCAAAAGCAATTTATAATAAAACATGAATTATTGTAGAAGTACCTCTCTGAGGCTCATATAGATTAAGTCACTCATGCAAATTAAGATGGACCATATTTCTGAAAGAGATTAGGACACAACTAAAAATAAATCAAGGGCAAGCTATTGTAATAAAACCAATTTCAAATTACTGCTAACAACAATTCTTTGCTTGACCAAACTTTAGTTAGTCTTCTGAAACTTCCTAGCACCATCATTGTACTTCCTTGTAAAATCCAGTTTTAGCAAAGAACACTACTAAGTCAGTTTGGCAAGAGAGTGATCAGATATCAAGGGTAGGGGGTTCTTGCTGTATTTGAAGTTGAGTCCAGTCTGTCTTCCCCACTGAAGGACCGCATTGCAGTGGTCCCTATAACTATCATGATGGTCCTGAATAAATTCTACCATGCTTTAACAAGTATTGTTGAATAATCTTTTTATTTTAACACTGCTCCCTGTGCTTTTTTTCAGCCTAATGATGTCCTTTATTCAAATATAACCTATATAAATGGCCAAATGCAATATTACAAAGGTGATAATATCGTTTACAAAAGAAATGATACTATAGTTTACATTAAAACATAAATTTTTGTTGTCTAGTTGTTTAAATATTACTGCTCTTGAAGAAAATACAGAAAAGTAGAAAGAAGAACAAAAAAATTTAAATTACCCCCCAACCCATGGGCCTGTGGTACAGCAGGCAACATGTGCTCTAAGAAGCTGGCCCAACACCTGACAGGGCAGGTGTCGGACAGCCTGGGGCTGTGCCCAGACCTGGGCCCAGACTGGTGGCAGCAGAAGCAACAGTGGCAGCCCGGCTGCAGCCCCAGGAGGAAAAAGGGGATCTCCCTGGAGGTAAACTGTCTTTCCTTCCATCCCTAAAGTGTCTCTCTGTGGCATCTGCACGGTAATAAAATTTAAGAGTATCAAAAATTATTTGTGACCTTGCATTTTCTGGCACTCAGGCAATAAACTTTGTCAGTATATTACTACAAGATAAAAGTATACATAGGTACATTGCAATACAAAATATTGCAGGAGAGGAACACTGTCTTTTCTTCCTACCTTTGTTGGTTCCTGGCTGGATCTCTGTAACAAAAGACAGATCAAGAGAAATGCATACAAATTCGTTTAGTATAAGTTTTTCGTGACACAGGAGACTTCATAAGGAATTGAAGACCCGAAGAAGTAGTTAAACCTGATTGTTTTCAAAGTATGTTTGCTGAAGAATAAAGAAACATAGAAAAATATGATAGGATAAAAATGGGTATGAACTAAGAGTTGTAAACTGGGGGAACCTTAGCAAGGCCTGTTTGTTCATATTTATCTGGGAATCACTGCAGCTTTGGAAATAAGGACAATCTCCTTGGAAGATAGGAGGGGCACCTCTCACATGAAGGTCTTATGACCTGCTTCATAGGAAGATCAGAAAGTCCTTCCTGCACCTGCCATTTCTTGAATTCCTTTGGCTTAAAATATTCACTAAGTCAAAGGTGTCATATTTTGGGGCAGCATGTCCTGAACCACATCAATATCAAGGATTTACCAGAATTCTTCAAAGAGTGGAATCTCTGGCTTTGAAAACTGCTGCAACATTGCAAACCTAATATCCATAGTCTTAGAAATTATTGTGTATAATAGAAAAGAACACTATTTTCATCTGAATGTAATTTTAATAACATACATGTTATTTTACATTTGAATACATAAATCAAAAAGCTACTTTTAGTGTTTTATACAACCTCTACAACTTATAGGAAATGTCAGAGGAAGCACTAAAATGCCATTGTATAAATTTACATTTTAAATTAAAGTCAGACTTATACCAAAGACATTTGAATGAAGAGTTAATCTTTGTGTGTGTGCGTGTGTGTGTGAGATGAAGTCTCGCTCTGTCGCCCTGGCTGGAGTGCAATGGCGCAATCTCAGCTCACAGCAACCTCCGCCTCCCAGGTTCTAGTGATTCTTCTGCCTCAGCTTCCCAAGTAGCTGGGATTACAGGCGCCCACCACCACGCCCAGCTAATTTTTGATTTTAGTAGAGACGGGGTTTCACCATGTTGGTCTTGAACTCCTGACCTCAGGTGATCCACCCGCCTCGGCCTCCCAAAGTGCTGTGATTACCAGCGTGAGCCACTGCACCCGGCCCGAAGGGTTAAATATTTTAAGAAAATCATTCCATTTGAATCAAGAGCTCTAGATGTACTTTATATTTCAAAATAAAGTATCAGACATTTATTCCAATGTTGTCATAGCCTATAAAATACTCTAACTGCTCTAGTCACAGTTGAATGAGCAGAGAGATGTTTCTCCAATTCAAAGAATATTTTATTTTAAATCCCGATTCATAGCATTTGCTGATTTCCATGGTGAAAATATTTTCACCATGTTTGATTTCATGCAACCAATGTGACCTCACTGAACACAGAGATGGAAAGAGATATATAGTAGAACGTTATTCTACAGCATTTTTACCAAACAGATACAGCAGGTATAAATAAGACCAAGAGTATATTAACGGTGAAATAATTAAAACATGATGAGTTTTGAGCATTTATTATACTCATTCAAATCTAATTTGTAGAAATGGTTTATATAATTTAATTTTGTATAAAATTGTGTTTAACAACTGGCTTGCAAAATTCCTAAGAATGTAAGAATTAATTTTTGTGAATCAGTGTGAGTTCACTCCAGCACATTATCAAATGAAATATGCTTGGTCATTATTTGTATTATAATTTTGAATTTGAGTGATAAGTAATGGGAGGTGTGCTCATTATATTTATGCAGTAAAGAACCTTAGTGAAATAAAGGTCCAACCTTTGCCTCAGCAATTGGAAGATCACCTCTAGGCCCCCTGCCTAGAATGTCCTACCTCATAGGCATGTGTGTTTTCCTAGAAGTTTGGGCCACTGGACAGTCTAATGCTATGGTTTATGGTGGGAGTCTTGAGCCACACAGCATTAGTTCTGACTTCTGGGGAACTGGAGACTAAAGGTAGGAAGAGGAACAGAATATGTCTCCCCAAAACATGCCAGTTTGGCATCAGGATTGTTTTGAGGTGAAGGCAATTAACTCTCGGTGCCCCCATTTTCTGTCTAAAAGCAGGCCGTGAATTTCCATTTTTAAAGGTATCTCCTCTCATGCTCGAAAAAGAACTACTCCAGAGACAACTCTTAGCACTGGACAGGATGCTTATCTGTGTAGCAAACATACTAAACAACCCTTATTTACCATACATTTCCTCTCCTCACTCCCCATGCTGCCCTCACCTCCCTGCCCTCACATTCTCCCTATGCTCCAGAAGTGAATCCCTTTTCCTTTGTCTAGCCTAAGATGATATATACGCCCTCAATTCTAACTGCCTCCTTGAGTAACGATTCTTTGGGAACTTTCATGCACGTATATGTAATTAAATCGGTTTTGCCAGCTGGGCGCGGTGGCTCATGCCTATAATCCCAACACTATGGTCAGGAGTTCAAGACCAGCCTGGCCAACATGGAGAAACCCTGTCTGTACTAAAAATAGAAAAATTAGCCAGGAGTGGTGGTGGATGCCTGTAATCCCAGCTGCAACTCAGAAGGCTAAGGCAGGAGAATTACTTGAACCTGGGAGGTGGAGATTGCAGTGAGCCGAGATCACACCACTGCAATCCAGACTGGGTGACAGAGCAAGACTCCATCTCAATAAATAAATAAATATGTTTATTGTAGCACTATTTACAAAGACTTGGAACCAACCCAAATGCTCATCAATGTTAGACTGGATATAGAAAATGTGGCACATATACACCATGGAATGCTATGCAGTCATAAAAAAGAATGAGTTCATGTCTTTTTCAGGGACATGGATGAAGCTGGAAACCATCAATGTCAGCAAACTAACACAGGAACAGAAAGCCAAACACCGCATGTTCTCACTCATAAGTGGGAGTTGAACAATGAGAACACATGGACACAGGGAGGGGAACATAACACACCAGGGCCTGTCAGGGGGTGGGGGCAAGGGAAGAGATAGCTTTAGGACAAATACCTAATGCATGTGTTGCTTAAAACCGAGGTGATGAGTTGATGAGTGCAGCAAATCAACATGGCACATATATACAACAAGCATACAACATGTGCACAACATGTATGCATGCATACCGCATACATGCTACATGTATACCACACACGTTACATGCACACTACATGTATACATCAATCATATATAATGCACGTAGGCTATATGTGCAGAAATTCCATACTACATGCATACAACATGTGCTCAACATGCATGCTACATATATACATTCACACTACATGCATACATGCGCAAAACAGGCATGCTGCATGCAGACATGTGTACAACACGTGTACAACATGCATGCTACATGCACACAGCATGCATGCTACATGCTTAATGCATGCATAGCACATGGGAACAACATCCATACTACATGTCTACATTCGTAAAACATTCAGGATGCATGTGTAAACATATATTCAACATGCACACAACATGCGCCCAAAATATATGCATGCTGCATGCATACTACATGAAACATGCACACTACGTGTATACATCATGCATTCATGCTACATGCATGCTACATGTGCACATGCTTTCAACATACATGCTACATGAGCACCACATTCACACTACATCCGTACAAGTGTGCAGCATGCACACAACATACATGCTATATGCGTAAAGCATGATTGCTGCATGCATACAACATGCAACTACATGTGCATAACATAAATAATGCATGCACACAACATGCGTACAGAGAGCATGCATACTACATGAACACAACATGCAAAACATGCGCACAACATGCCTAATGCATGCATGCCACATGTGCACAACATGCATGCTACACGTGTACAACATATGTGCAACATTCATGCTACATGCGCACAACATATTCAACATGCACACAACATGCGCACAACTTGTATGCATGAATATTGCATGCAGGCTACATGTATACTACACACGATACATGTGTGTTACCAGCATACATCATGCATGCAACTATATGAATGCTGCATGCATATAGCATCCATAGTACATGCATGCAAAATGTGTCAAACATAAGTCCTACATGTGAAAAACATGCTACAATATGCGTGCAAAATGCATACTGCATGCATATAACATGGGCATAACACCCATACCTCATGCTTAGAACATGCATGATACATGCACAGAACGTGTGTACATTTGCTACATGCACAGAACACATGTACAACATGCTACATGTGAACAACACGTGCACAGCCTGCATACCACACACGTACATGCTTACAACATAACAGTATGCCCACTGCATGCGTAAAGCATATATGCCCATGTGTGCAACATGAAAACTACATGATACAATATGCACACAACATCCCTGCTGGTGCAAAACGTGCGTACAACACACTACATGCATAGAACTGGCATGCTACATGTGCACAACATGCAAGCCACATGCATACAAGCAAGCCACATGTGCAAAACATGCGAACATGTGTACAGCATACAATCCTGATGCATAGAACATGCATACGTGTGTACAGCATGTGTTAAACATTCATGCTACATGCATACATCATGCGAGCAGCATGTGCGCATTTTCACAGCACACATAGAACATGCTGCAACACGCGTGAAGCATGCATGCAGCATGCACACTACATGATGCAAGTAGGGCACAATGGGTATGGTACAAGTCGTGGCCTGTGTAGAGCATGCAAACCACATGCCACAACATGTAAGTCACATATGCACAACATAGAGCTCTATTCTACACGCTTGCTGCATGCTACAACATGCAAGCTACATGCCTGCTGCATGCTTAGAACATGCATTCTACATTCTTTGGAGCATGCATGCTACACACATAGAACATGCCCACTGGATTTTGTGAAATGTGCAGTACATGCTACAACATGCAACCTACATGCGTGCAGCATGCACACTACAGCCTTATAACATGCTTACTGCATGATGCAGCATGTAAGCTACATGCATGGCACACGTTGCCACATGTGTAGGGCCTGTATTGTACATGCATTGAGCTTACATGCTACACATGTAGTACATGTGTACTTCACGCCACATGCAAGCTGCATGCTCGCAACATGCCACAACATGCGAGCCACATGCCTGCAACATGCCACAACATACAACCTATATGCTTGTAACATGTGCACTGCATACTACATGAAAGCCACATGTTGAAACATGTGTGAAGCATGCATGCATGCAACACAGACATTACACGCTGTAACATGTGTATAACATGCGTGCAGCATGCATATTATGTGCTGCGACATCCGCATGGCATATGTGCCACATTAATAATAAATGCACACTGCATGCCACAACAACTAAGCTATATTTTTGTAACTTGCACACTACATGCTACAGCATGCAAGCTACATGCATACATTCTTGTAGCATGGATGTAACGTGTGCTGCATGCCACATGTGTACTACATGCTTTTAACATGCACACTACTTGCTAAAACATGCACGCTACATGCATGTGACACACATGCCACATGTGTAGAACATGTTTTCTGCATGTGTGTGGCCTGCATGCTGCACAAGGAGAACATGGGTGTGGCATGCCACAACAGGCAAGCTACATGATTGCAATATGTGCACTATATGTCACATGGAACCTACATGCTTTTAACATGCTTGCTGCATACTGCAACATGCAAGCTACATGTGTGAAACATGCATGCAGCATGCACAATACACACTGCAACATGTGCACTTTGAAACATGTGTGCTGCATGTCCCAACATACATGTAGCGACATGTGTACAGCATGTTTGCTGAATTCGTGATATGTGCGCACTACATGGCACATGTAAGCTACATGCTTGTAACGTGTGCACTACATGCTACACTATGCAAGCATCATGTGTGCAACATGTGTACTACATTCTTGCAACATGTGCATTGCATGCTACAATATGCAGTCTACATGTATGCTACATGCTTACTATAGTTGCAACAAGCATGCTACACACTACAACATGCATGGCACATGCATTGGACATTTATTCTACATGCAAGCTACATGCATACAGCATTCATGCTACACACATTCAGTATGCATTCAACATGCACACTACTTGCGCATAACATGCATGCAACATGCTACGTACATGCCACTTTCTGTGAGGTGTGTGCAACATTCATACAACATGCATACTACAGGCATACAGTATGTGTTCATGAGTAGGCATGCAGACAATATGCATACCACGGTTGTACATCATGCACGTGACTTGCCAGAACATGCATGCTGCATGCATGCAACATGTGTGCAACATTCATGAGCATGCATACTACATGTTACCACATGCATACCACATGCACGCTACACACGCTCAGCCACCCCTCAAGAAGAATACAAGAAGAGCAATAGGTACCTTTAAAAATGTTATGTTAAGCTCTCTTTTTTCTTCTATTTAAAGTTTCAAGAAAAGGCTCCAAGAGCAAACAAATAAAACCAAAAAACATGTAAGTAAGTAGCAAGCCCTCAAAAACCTAGAGCCACTGCAGGAGAACTGCTGGGGAGTTAACATCAAGAACTCACACGTAATTGCTAGTTTGTAGATGACGAAGCTCAATACTGATGGCTGTTTTAGAAAAGAGAACAAATAATGAGGAAAATGTAAAATTCTGGTTAGTCTATATAAAATATTTATTACAGTCATCAGTATTAAGTGTTTTCTCTGCCATATTGTACAGTAATACTTTGTTTTAATGTGTTCTATTTAATGGGTCATACTTACTTGCATTGTATTGAATTACAAAAATGATTTTGTTGAGGAATTCACCACCTCACTGATGGTGTTGAGGTCCACTGTGCCCCAACCCCAATTCTTAGCAGGTTTAGCTACATAAATTGTAGGGCCCAATGTAAAATGAAAATGAAGGACCCTTTGTTCTAAAGTTATTAAGAATTTCAGGATGGTGACAGTGGCACATCAAACCAAAAGTGAAGTCCTTCTATACACTGAGTTCATCTAAGTACAGGGTTCTGTATGACTACAAAAGTTGCACACCCATGAAGCCAGGCCTGTTTTGACAGGCAATCCTATTCATATAATTCTCTCCAGCTAGTTTAAATACTCCTGGCAAACAATGGCCTTGGGGCAGCCAAAATTAATGGGCTCAGGGCACCCAGGACCTAATAAAATACTTGCCATAAGTCAATGACATGGCTTGCATCTTATGTTATTAAAGAAGTTGGGAAATCTACCATGCTAGTTTTTCTTTGCCAAGAAATAAAGATTATATCTAGAGACAGATAATTTCCCTTGAGAAATTACAATCTCCCATCTTTCCTAGCTGTGCTGCTAAGTCTTATTTCTTGGACTATTTTTCCATGTGTGAGTTAATGTAAAGGAATACGAATGAATCTTTTCAGGCTCCGCAGTACCTTACAAAAAAATTCTTCTAAAATGTCTTTTAGATTTTCTTTTTGGCCATGTTACTGTAAATGAGGCAGCCAGGTTTTTGTTGTAGCCATTGTTGTTTTTAAATAATTTTAAGTTTTTGCACATCTTGGCTAAGAGCTGAATATTGTGGTCTTTCCAGTTAGACAGAAGACAAAGTAGAAGCAGATTCTGGCTTCACAGTTTCTTTCACATCCTCTGTCTCTTTCATCTCACATTTGCTCAGTGATTTCATTCTTTCTCCATTATGTAGTTTAAGAGATTAGGAATCCATTTTATTCATCTGACAACTTTTTTTTCAGACAATTAGCATTACACCTACTTCTAAGAAAAGGAGTTACCTGACAATGCTGTCATTGCTACCTACTTGTATTTACGGAAACATTCAAATGTTAATCTGTTCCCTTCACACTTGGCCCAAAATTCAGATAACAGCTCCCAAAAGGTGCTATCAGGAGTGACAGTGATAGCAAACCCATACAACATGCCATAAACCCGCTTACTCTCTGTGCACATAAAAAACATGACTAACCAATTGTGATAGTTTTGCACATTAACTCCAGATGCAACCTTAAAACCGCTCTCAACACTGCCTCCCAGACTGCCACTCTCTGTTAATAGGTTGGCCTGTGAGTGGAAACCCCTTTACAGTCCCTGAGCCAGTGGAAGATGGCTGCAAGGAGGCACGGGTCCTAAAACATAATAATGCATCTTCCACATAAATGAAAGTCTAGCACTTACAAAGTGTTTCCATAGCTTTAGATTTTATCACTTCCATTTGAATAAATGTATTACCAATAAATTTTTAAGGAGGACTAAGAAGATTACATCTTTTGTACTTTGAGATTCTTTTAAGGAAGTTTCTATAAGAATTTTTACTATTCTGCAAATATAGTACCAGATAATTGAAAATTACCATACAAGGCTTATATGGCCATATTAGAGTATTTCTATGAATACTGATGCCTAAAAGTGTGAGAAATCCATGAAAAATATGCCTGAGAGCCATTTTAAACAAATATAGGCAAAAATAAGGGCCCCGATAATTAATATAGTTTTAGCTATAATTTATCACCACTAAACCCAATATTAGGGGTTTTGTGTGTTATATTTGCCTCCAAATTGAAAATAAATTGTTTATGGATAGGAAGATTTCATTGAATCTGTGTTTCCTAACATTAGCAGAATTTTGATTCTCCAACTATTCACACCAGTTCCTGAATGAATTATTTTACTTTACATGGTTTCTGGTCAAGATATGTACAGAGAATTGGGCCTTTCACTCCCAATCATTGCTAGACTGGGTTCCAGTTTTCTAAACTGTGAACAAACCCCAGAGGGCAGTTGTGAAGATTAAAAGAGGTAAGTCAAGAGCTTTGAAGAGTGCCATAGCAAGGTGTGCTCAACACGTTAGCTAAGATAAAATATTGTGATGGTGATGATGAAGATTTTTCTCTCTTTTTTCCCTTAGCAATTTTCTCACTACTGCCATTTCTCGCCATTGTAGTAACATGGAATAACTACTACTAAGCGACTATTAAATATCTGCTTTTCAATTCCTGACTACTGATTGATTTATTGATTTACTTTGAAGGAGAATGTGGTTATCAGCCTAACCTGCATTTACTCTGGACAACCACAGTTTATTTTACTCACGATTGCCTCATTGCAGTTGCAGGATTGAGACTATAAACCTTCTCAATTCCTGGTGCCAGAGAATGCGTAAGGAATTCTGGCCAATGAGTCACACAGCTGCTCTGTTGTTTCTAATTTGGCTGCCAGGATCAAGTTGCTTCTCAAAGAAACTTTAATAACTTTTCTTTCCAAAACGTTAATCTTCATCATCTCATGGCTTAAGTGTTTAATGATTACTTCATAAACAATTTTCATACTTCCCCACGGTTACTCGCAAAGTTATCCAGCTATTTTATGTTTATCCCCTTTTTCAATCTGCTTAACATTTAAAAAAAAATTGTGAAGCTGAGCGTATGGTGAAAACGAACTAGCAAAAAACTAGGAAGCTGTAATAAAGACATATTTTTCCAAAGATAGCCTTTTTCTAGGATTTTCAAGGGAATCTGTTTTTTTTTTTTCCTTTAAAGTTGCAAGGTTGAAGATAAATCTCTTTTGCTCCATTTGTAGTAAGTCACTAAGGTAGGTGATAGTGAAATGTTGTCTTTGTAGTACTAACTCTGGAGAAAATAGGAAGGTTCTGGGCACAGAACGAGTGAGAGGGACTTTTCCTCCCTGTCATGGGGAGACTAGGTCATTCCAATTAACCTTCCCTCTAAAGATCCATAGAAAACCAGATTAAACAACAACACTATTTGCCTCATAACATCAGATCATTAAGAACAGAGAAGTGTCAGGCCAGGGAAAGAGAAAGGACAAGCCCAGAATTTGGGGCCCCTTCTGTGCTGGGGAGGAGTGAGAGGCTAAGCAGAGAACACTGAGAGTCTCCAAGGAGAGCAGGGCCCACAGGGTGTGGGGACCCTGGTAATCCATCCTGTACATAGGAGTGGGGCCCTGAAGAATGGCATTAGAAGTGAAGAGGGATTAGAAGTTGGTCACCACTCCCACCAATTGCAACTCAGCTTCTAGGGATCTTGACCATCTTAACAAATGTGAAAGAAACACTTTTAGTAAAAAAAATGGAAAGAGTTTATCACCAGAAGACCGGTACTAAAGGAAATTGTAAAAGTGGTCTTCCAATAGAATGAAAAGGATTTGTGATGAAAGGCACAGCAATGGAGGAAGTAATAGAATGCAACGTAAGTGGTAAATATGGTAATATATGATTAAATCTAGTGGGAAATTCCCTGCTTGCAAATCTGTAGTGACAGAAAGTAAATTACCAGTTCCCAGGGGCTAGGCAGGAGAGAGGCTGGTGACTGTTAAAAAGCAAAGGATTTCTTTTCAGAGTGATGGAAGTGTTTTAAAATTAGATTGTGGTGATATTTGCACAATGCTATGAGAACACTAAAATCCATTGACTTGTACACTTTAAAAGGATGCATTTTATGGCATGTAAATCATCTTTTGATGAAGTATTTTTAGAAAAAGAGCAAGATTTAGGACAACAGTAGTATGTAAATTAAAAGAAGACACGTAGGCTTGAGGTGTTCTGAGATCATTGAATTGTCTGGAAAAAGGAAAAAATGTAGAATTTGTCATCATGCTATACAATTATGTTTTATGCACATCGTACAGGTGTGGCATTTCACACACACACGTAAGTTTTTGAAAAAGAATGAGAGGCAACTAAGCCAAAAGGGCCGATTACTAGCAACTACTCCATTTTCCTAGCCAATTCCTTCTTAACGAACCCATAATAGAACAATGATGAAGTTTTTAAGTAGACAGACAGTGGAAAGGTGATACTTTTCTCTAATGTTTTCTTCCTACACTGGAATATGTAAGGCAGTAGAAATAAAGAATATGAATACACTTAGTAAAGACAATGAATACAAATCACCTTAAAGAATGAAAATATAAAGTTTGAAATAATACAACTGACTTACAGTCGGAAAGCTATGACCTCACAAGTATTTTTCTGCTTTATAAATGCCAACTGTTGTAAACCACTTTCCCAGTGCTTACACTACCGAAAGTAGGATCCACACTCTGCTGTCTACCCCCAAACTGACCAGAATGTCTACACACAGTAAGAAATCAGACACTTGTTCACTGGTGGAATGAATATATGTTTGTATGTATTCACAAACGGATAGAAGACAGGATTTCTAGAAGTTGGATGTTTCAAATTTCCTGGAGGCAAGAGAAAAAATTCATTTTTTCTCTTTTTCTATTAAAATGTGTATTACAATTATCTTCCAAGCTTACAAAAATATAAAGTAACACATCTATAGAATTTTATAGATTTCTGGGTGAAATGGAATAAATTCACACCCTGGAGGATGTAAGGGTTATCATTAGATATAGAGTTTACTTTCTACTTTGTTCCTTCTACTGAGTGATGATAATCCTGACTTCTGATTTAGAACCATTGACACTGGTTTTCCTTTTGGAAGACATCTCCCGGGTCAGTACTCTTCCTCCAGATAGACTCATCTAAAACTACTGCAAATCTTCTAAAACCTTCTCAATTTCTTAAAGACAGTTCTCAATTTCTTACTCTAAAGTTTCTCTTTCCTAAGTTTGTCTTTTATCCAACACTAATGAATAGCTATAATTTAAGATCATTTCTCTTTACTCTTCAGGTGTAAATAGAGAACAATTCCTTATAGAAATTTTTTTTTGTTTTGCTAACTATTGTTAAATTGTTACCTTTTCATATCACAGTGTTTCTTTAATGTCAAAATGAGCTTGGCTCTTCTAAAATTCAATTTACCAAGCTGTCTGCCCAGATTCCATTTGAGGAGTTTAACTGAACTCTGTGGAGGCTTTACAGTATCTCAATTACATCTCAGAAGAAATTAGCTCAGAAAATGCCAGCTCTGCCCCACAGGGCTTGGCAAAAACAGAGTAATGGCCTGGCTATGTCAGTGATGAGAACTGCAGCAGAGAGAGGAATAGAGGAATTAAGACAAAGAATGGATCAGCAGCCAGAGTTCAAGGGGGGAAAATGCTGGTGGTCATTCAAATACAAAAGAAAATCAGTCTGGAATGAAACAGTCTTGGAACAGAAGCAGATTTGGGTGTTTGTGGAGATAAACAAGAGCAGAGGGAACTGTAATACTTACCCCTAGGACAAAACTCACCTTCTGGGGGCTGTGGTGAGGCCAGCCTTCAGTGACCCACCAGCTCTGTGCAAGGAGGCTCTAGTGCTCACACATCTTAGATGCCCAGCGGCTTCTGGCAAGCAACAAGACACAGCTCAGAGGCGGATGGGGAAATTGTTCTAAACAAGGAGGTCTGCACCAGAAATAAGAGTCCTAAAAGTGAGATTTCATCCCACTGAGGAATTTGGAATCAGATAGTTGGTCTTAAAAAAAATAAGCAGAAAGACCTAATGTTATAACTCTTGAGAAGTGAATAGGAAAGAAATATCAGCATGATATCATCCATGGAAAACTGGCCTCAGCTAATGATGAAAGAGGGGTTCAGAAAAACACAGTAATAGTTCATTAGAAAAAAGAGTTCATTAAAGTATTTTTCCATATTTTAATATGGCTTTATTTATTATAGTATGAAATGTGATTTAATGTTATTTAAAAGACTATTTGATATAGAGGCAGAAGGATTGCTTGAGTCCAGTAGTTTAAGACCAGCTGGGGAACATGGTGAGACCCTGTCTCTATAAAAAATACAAAAATCAGCCGGGAAGGGTGGCTTATGCCTGTAATCCCAGCACTTTGGGAGGCCGAGGCAGGTGGATCACAAGGTCAGGAGATTGAGACCATCCTGGCTAACATGGTGAAAACCCATCTCTACTAAAAATACAAAAAATTAGCTGGGTGTGGTGGCAGGCACCTGTAGTCCCAGCTACTCAGGAGGCTGAGGCAGGAGAATGGTGTGAACCCGGGAGGCGGAGCTTGCAGTGAGCCGAGATCGTGCCACTGCACTCCAGCCTGGGAGACAGTGAGACTCTGTCTCAAAAAAAAAAAAAAAAAAAATCAACCAGGGCCAAGCACTGTGGCTCGCACCTGTAATCTCAGGACTTTGGGAGGCTGAGGTGGGAGGATTACTTGAGTTCAGGAGTTCGAGTTTGAGACTAGCCTAGGCAACATAGTGAGACCTCATCTGTACAGAAAATAAACAAAATTAGCTGGCCATGGTGGCATGTGCCTTTAGTCCCAGCTACTTGAGAGGCTGAGGTGGGAGGATGGCTTGAGCCCAGGAGTTTGATGCTGCTGTGAGCTATGATTATGCCACTACACCCCAGTCTAGACAATACAGCAAGACCCTATCTCTAAGACAACCAAAACAACAGTAAAACAACACAAACCTTATTCAATGTAAATAATATTGATATTGTATATTCCTGGAGCCAAGATCTAAAAGGGTCACATCCAGAGGTGATATTCATAATTCCATGTCTAATGACTCTTGCCATGGGCAACGATCAACACTGACCAATCAGAAATGAGCCCAGCCTTGGTTCTGGAGCTAGCTTCTGAAAGCCCCCAACTATGTTGGGCATTAACCCTTCACTGCTGAGTTAGAAAAAGAGGTCCCAAGGAAGGAGACAGGCTAAGGCAGTATAGGTTTATTTTTCATCAATATTTTACATAAGTGTCAGGGGAACCCATCCCCGATATTTCAACATAGGTTCTTTTCTATTTCCCTAAGTGTTGGCCAGTCTGAGAAATAAAGGGAAAGAATACAAAAGAGAGAAATTTTAAAGCTGGGTGTCGGGGGGAGACATCACATGTCAGCAGGTTCCGTGATGCCCCTGAGCTGCAAAACCAGCAAGTTTTTATTAGCAATTTTCAAAGGGGAGGGAGTGTACGAATAGGGTGTGGGTCACAGAGATCACATGCTTCAAGGGCAACAAAAGATCACAAGGCAGAAGGTCAGGGCGGGATCCCAAGGTCAGGGCAAAACTAGAATCACTAATGAGCTTCCATGTTCCGCTGTGCAGGCATTGTCATTGATAAACATCTTAACAGGGTTCAAGAGCAGAGAACTGGTCTGACTAGAATTCACCAGGCTGGAATTTCCTAATCCTAGCAAGCCTGGGGGCGCTGCAGGCGGCCGGGGCATGTTTCATCCTTTATCTGCAACTGCATAAGGCAGACACCCCCAGAGCGGCCATTTTAAAGGCCCCCCTCCCCCGGGAACGCATTCTTTTTCCAGGGCTGTTAATTATTAATATTCCTTACCAGGGAAAGATTTCAGCGATATTTTTCTTACCCATTTTCGGTAATAAGAGAAATATGGCTCTGTCCTGCCTGGCCCACAGGCAGCCAGACTTTAAGGTTATCTCCCTTGTTCCCTGAAAATCGCTGTTATCCTGTTCTTTTTTTTTTTGAGACGGAGTCTCATTCTGTCGCCCAGGCGGGAGGGCTGTGGCGCGATCTCCGCTCACTGCAAGCTCCGCCTTCCGGGTTCACGCCATTCTCCTGCCTCAGCCTCCCGAGTAGCTGGGACTACAGGCGCCCGCCACTGCGCCCGGCTAATTTTTTGTATTTTTAGTAGAGACGGGGTTTCACCATGGTCTCGATCTCCTGACCTCGTGATCCGCCCGCCTCGGCCTCCCAAAGTGCTGGGATTACAGGTGTGAGCCACCGCGCCCGGCCAACACATAAGTTTTTCAATATTTTAACAACCATTTTGCAAAACACACTGATGACTATCAGCTATAGTTACAGCTCACAAGCAAACTCTGATCACATGTCTGAAAGCACAGTGGGGCTTTAGCCAGACTGCAAGGGATTGAATCCTAGACTTGTCCTTTACTAGCTCTGCGACCTTGTGAGGTTTATATAATCTATAAAAAGCATTGATGTGTAGATTACATGAGTTAATTCCTATGAAGTGCTTAAGAAGAGAGTCTGACACATAGTAAATGCTCAATGCAGCAATATGATCTATTGATAGGGGCTACCAGGAACACTGTGCAGAGCAGGAAAAAATGTTACTGTGATTGATTAGCAATGCATGCCATAGGCAAGGAAAAGGGTAGTGTCAACAAGGAGTGCCATAGGTTTACCAATTCTGCTTTAGTCCAACCCTAAAACCCAGCTTACATAGGTGTGCTGAGCACATTACTTATAGCAGCATCATTACATCAACGATAAACGAACGGGAAGACTCTTAGAAGCCCCTTTAGTTTGGTCCCAATCTAAAATCAGTGATGTGAACACCAGTCACTATTTCTTAATGTAGGCTCTGACAACTGACAATTTTGAGATCTTGTCAGGCCAATGTCTCCCAATAGATAAATTTTGCTTTGGGTCACCATCTGGAAACCTTACATGTTCTATTTTTTTCCTTTTGTGTTTGTGTTCCTGAGAGTTTTGCGAGGCGAAATTTCCAAAATGGAGGCTGAAAATCGTCAGGTCTGTCATCAGAGATGGCTGAATTCTGGTTGGGGGCCTGTGACAAGAGGTGTAAAAATAACACATGTGACTGATCTTTTAATTCTGGTGGGGTTGTCTCCTGCCATATTAATGCCTCCTAGGCCAGACATGTTTCCCTGATGACATCATTACAACCTAAATTCTTGTGCATATCTTAACAAATGATACAATTTCACTAAAGATAATTTGGGAGGTAAGTGGCCACTGGGTGAATTTTTGATACAATTAAAAATTGTTCATCTTAAAGATAACTTGGAGCAAAGGAGCAAGATAATTTATTCACTGTCAATTCCAAGGTAATTCAAGGATAATTCAAATAAAATATTCAAGGGTTTGTCTTTTTCTAGTTTGTCCTTTTTTTAGTAAGAAGATTCTAACCAAAATTCTGACATCAGAATAGCTTCATTAAAGAAATTCTTTTTTTCTGCCGGGTGTGGTGGCTCGTGCCAGTAATCCCAGCACTTTGGGAGGCTGAGGCGGGTGGGTCACCTGAGGTCAGGAGTTCGACACCAGCCTGGCCAACATGGTGAAACCCCGTCTCTACTAAAAACACAAAAAGTAGCTGGATGTGGGGGCAGGCACCTGTAATCTCAGCTACTCAGGAGGCTGAGGCAGGAGAATCACTTGAATCCAGGAGGCAGAGGTTGCAGTGAGCCAAGATCATGCCATTGCACTCCAGCCTGGGCGATAAGAGTAAAGCTCAGTCTCAAAAAAAAAAAAAAAAAAAGAAAAGAAAAAAAAGAAAAAAGAAAAAAGTCTGTTTTCAATGTTAATGAAAAATGTGGAAACACTTAAGGCCTTCTGATTCCACCTAAAACCTGGCAACTTCTTATGTCCCACTCTGACTCTTCCTACTTAGAATACTTCCCTCCCACCCAGCTGTCAACTTCTCTCATTTCTCAATCTCTCCAGACCTTCTTCCCTTTCCTGTGTTATAAGCTGAATTCTCTCCAGCACTCCATCCTGACACATCCTCCTGCTCTGCTTCCATCCCCAAGGTATTAATATAAGTTCTCCTTAAAAAAAACCATGATCATATTTTACTTTCTTTTATATGGATGAAATTTATTTTTAAATATTTAATTTGGAATTTTTTGCATCTGTGTGCATATGGGATTTTGGTCTTCAGTTTTCTTTCCATGGAATATCTTTGTCTGATTTTCTTAATAGTATAATTCTAGGCTTAGAGAAGAGTTGAGAAGTGAACCTTCCTCTTCTATTTTCTGAAAGATTTTACACAGCATTGTTATTATGTCTTCCATAAATATTTGATGGAATTTACTAGTGACATCCTCTGGTCCTGGAATTTTCTTTATGGGAATGTTTCAAATTATAAATTCAATTTAATATATTCAATTTATTTCAGTCTATCCTCATTCACTTTGTTCTTATTTTTATTATTTATTTCTATCTACTAATTTAGGGCTTAATTTGCTTATGGGTTTGGCCGAAAAGTTCTTAGGGCAAGATAGCAGAAACAGTGTGAGTCTTCATTTTGAATGATTTCTTGAGGCAAGGATCAATGTAGACCAGACGAGGAGCTGCGTGAATAAGGAAATGTTAGTTGAGTCCCAAGACATTCTGAGGTTGTAATTGAATAACTAATGTTTATTCCAGAAGCAAAGTGGGTTTAACATTAGAAATCAATCATTGACTGTAATCCCAGCACTTTGGGAGGCCGAGGCAGGGTGGATCACGAGGTCAGGAGATTGAGACCATGCTAGCTAACACGTTGGAACCCCATCTCTACAAAAAATACAAAAACTTCGCAGGGTGTGGTGGCACACACCTGTAATTCCAGCTATTTGGGAGGTTGAGGCAGGAGAATTGTTTGAACCTGGGAGGCGGAGGTTGCAGTGAGCCAAAATCGCGCCACTGCACTCCAGCCTGCGTGACAGAGAGAGGCTCCATCTCAAAAAAATAAATAAATAGTAATCAATAATTGAGTTAATGCAATTCACTAAAGAAGATTATGTCAGAGATGCAGAAAAAAAAATTTAACACCCATTCGAGAAACATTTTTAAGTAAATTAGAAATAGAAAGGAACTTCTTCAATGCAATAAAGTGTGCCTGTACAAAAACTACTATTAGCATCATAGCAAATGATTAATGATTGATTATTTATTTCCTAAGGTTGGGCACAAATCATGGATGCTGTCTCTCATGACTTCTATTTAACATTGTCCTAATCAGTGCAATACAGCAAGAAAAAGAAATAGCACGAATATGCAATGGAAAGGATGAAGTAAAAGTGACTTTAGTAGCAGATTACATGGTCTTGTATGTAGAAAATCCTTAGGAACCTTTGAAAAAGCTACTAGAAATAATAAGAAAATTTAACGAGATCACAGACCCAATTTTAAAATATTACTTCTAACTACTAGCAAAAAAATTTGGAAAATTTATTAAGAAAGTAACAGTTTCAATGACATGAAAAAACATGAACTTAGTGATAATTTAATACAATACAGTCATTCTCTGCATAACAATGTTTTGGCCAAAAAACAAATGGCTTATGGAATGGTGGTCCCATACAATTATAATGGAGCTGAAAAATTCCTATTGCCCAGTGACCTTGTAGTACAATTACAGCTGACCTTTGAATAAGAGGGTTAGGGGTGTTGACCCTCGAGTAGTTGAAAATTCTCATATAACTTTTGATTCTCCCCAAACTTAACTAAGAGCCTACTGCTGATCAGAAACCTTATTGATGAACACATATGTATTGTATGTTATATGTATTATATACCGTATTCTTGTAATAAAGTCATAACATTTTGTTATTAAGGGAATCATGAGGAAGAGAAAATACATTTATAGTACTGTACTATATTTTTTGATACCATAAATTTACATCATCTGTTTACAAAATGAATCGTCTTTCTGAATTGTCAGACAACTGCAGCTGCAGACCTCGATCTATGGTACATTTGAAGCAATTCAACTTTTTCTTGTAATGTCATAACTTTTCTCTGTTTCTTAGGAACACTTTCAGCATCACTAGTGGCACTTTGTACGGGTCCCATGGTGTTATTCAAAGTTTATGGTATTGCATTAGCTACGATGAAAGAAATGTTAGAACTTTGAGAGCTCAGTTTTTACTGCAATATGTAATTTACTGGAAAGACAAACTGCAGAAATGATTAGCATCATAGACTTTTAGGAGGATACTTGCAACACTCGAGCTTACTGCAATAGCAACAGGAGATAGCTAGAAAGTTATTACAATAGTACAGTATGTGCTACAGATAACTTTCCACTGTTATGATTTAATATGGCATCTTTACGTTTTTTACATTTCTCTCAACTGCAAATGGCGCCATATACAGTCTGTGTTTGTGTATATAAGTTTTGATAAATTTTAACATTTTATAATAGATTTGTATGTATTTTATGGAAGTAAATTACAAAATAGATTAACATCTACATATATTCTATGTACTCATGACTTACATTTTTTATTATTATTTTTTCTCCAGATGGAGTCTTGCTCTGTCACCCAGGCTGGAGTTCAGTGGCACCATCTCGGCTCACTGCCAACTCCGCTTGCCGGGTTCAAGCAATTCTCCTGCCTCAGCCTCCCGAGTAGCTGGGATTACAGCCACCCACCACCCCACCTGGCTAATTTTTGCATTTTTAGTACAGACAGAGTTTCATCATGTTGGCCAGGCTGATCTCGAACTCCTGACCTCGTGATCCACCTGCCTCGGTCTCCCAAAGCACTGGGATTACAAGTGTGAGCCACCATGCCTGGCATTTAAATTTTTTTTTGATATTTCTAGGCTATGCAGTTTATCTGTGAGATTTTTCAAATTGTCACAAGTCCCCAAAACATTTTAAAATATATATATTGAAAAAAAATCACATATAAGTGGACCAAGACTGTTCAAACTTTTGTTGTTCAAGGGTCAACTATATTTTTAAAATAAATTTAGTATAGCCTAAGTGTACCATGTTTATAAAGTCTACAGTAATGTGCTGTAATGTTCTAGGCCTTGACCTTTACTCACCACTCACTGACTCACCCAGATCAACTTTCAGTCCTGCAAGCTCTATTCATGGTAAGTGCCCTAGGCAGGTGTTCCATTTTTTTCTTTTATACTGTATTTTTACTGTACCTTTTCTATGTTTAGATATGTTTCTACATTTAGATACACAAATAGTTACTATTGTGTTACAATGGCCTACAGTGTTCAGTACAGTAACATACTGTATGGGTTTGTAGCCTAGAACCAATAGACTATACCATATAACTTAGGTGTGTATTGGGCTACATTCTTTGGGTTTGTGTAGATACACTCTATGATATTGACACAACAACAAAATTTCCTAACAATGCATTTCTCAGAACATATCCCTGTTTTTAAGTAAGGCATAATTGTAAATTCCAGATCTAACAAACAACCTCTGCCCCCTTAAAAAAACAAAAAAGCAGAAAACATCACTGAGAGACATTAAATACCTCCCTTTAGGGAGACATATATCATTTTCATGGACTGGTAAATTCAATACTGCTAAGATGTTAGTTCTTCACGAATTGACCAATAGGTTCAATATAACTCCAGTTAAACTACTGGAAGGCTTTCTATTTTTGGGAGAGAGAGTAGGATTTGACAAACTCACTGTGAAATTTATATAGAAATATAAATAAATAACCTAGAGAAATCAAACAATTTTGAAAACAATAAACAAAGTTGTAGGAATTCTACTATCTGAATTCAAGACTCAGCATAGAGCAACAGTTATTAAAATACAGTGTGATATTGGCTTAATGATAAACTTATAAATCAATGGAACAAAATAAAAAAGGTCCAGAAATAGACCCACAAATATATGGCTCATTGATCTTTAACAAACAAGCCAAAAGTTATTTAATGGAAAAGGATAGTCTTTTCACCAAATGATGCTAGAATAACTTGATATCTATATGGAATAAAAATGGACCTCAACCTTTACTTTATACCATAACAAAAAAAAATTCAAATGAATCATAGACCTAAAAATAAAGCAAAAACCATGTAAATCTAGAAGAAAACTAAGGAGAATATTTTTGTGAACTTGTGCTCTGCAAATATTTTTTTGAACATAAAAAAGCATGAATCCTAAAAGGAAAAATTGATATATTAGACTCTATCAACATTAGGAACTCCTGTTGTTTGGAAGACACCATTTAAAAAGGGGGAAAGACCAGTTACAGATTGGAGGAAAACATTTCAATCTATATATTGTCCAAGTACTCCTTTATGAAATATATAAAGAAGTTATAATAATAACACAAGCAATTTAATTAGGAGTTAGAAAAAGTGCTCAAAATCTTTACAAAAGAAGGCTGGTGAATGGCCAGTAAACACATCAAAAGGTACTGAACATTCTGGAATTATCAGAAAATACAAATTAAAACCACAGTGAGATGCCACAATACACTCATGAGAAGGGTTAAAATTTAAAAGTGTTTTTATCGAACGTGGCAGAGAATATAGAGCACATGTAATTCTCATACATTACTGATAGGAAGGTGAAATGGTACACTTTGAAAAATAGTTTGACAGTTTCTTAAGAAGTTAAATATGACCCAGCAATTCCACTCCTAGGTATTTACCCAACGGACGTGAAAATCCATATTTACACAAAGGTTGTACACAAGCAGCTTTGTAACAGACCAAAGTTAAAAGCAGCCAGAGGACTATCAATAAGTTAGTGGGTAAAAAAAATTGTGGCATATTCCTACAATTCAATACCACTCAGCAATTAATAAAAGAATGAAATGCTAAAATACTGATGAATAAAACAATGTGGATGAATGTCAAACATATTATTCTGAATAAAAGGAGCTAAACACCCAAAGTACATACTTTATTATTCAATTTGTGAATTATAACAATGACAAATTAGTTTATAATGATTGAAAAATAAATCAGTGATTGCCTAGAGCAAGGGAGGGGAAGTAAAAGCTCACTGGAAAGGGACCCAAGCACATTTTTTGGGTGGTGAAATGTTTTATATCTTGATCGTGGTGGGAGTTACACAAACGTGTCCATTTTTCCTTGAACTGTATTCTTAAAATGAGTACATTTTATAGTATGTAACATATCTCAATAAACTGAGTTTTAAAAACTATTATTTGGCTGAACTAATGAAAAATTACAGATATTCAGCCAATTTTGACCTATAAAAACATCAGGTTTGCAGATGGTTTAATTTTATATTTTATGAATGAATGATATATTGTCTGTAATTAATTCAAATTGAATTTTGAAAGAAGTTTTACCATGAGTAATATTTACATCATAATGTGGAGACTTTAAAAAATGGCAAATATATGCACCTCATCCCCGCATCTTGCTCCTTTAGGGATCATTGCTAGAAGGCCACTATTTTTGATAGGTAATTAGAGTAAGTCCAAAAAAACAAAATCGGGGAGGAGCCAAGATAGCCAAATAGGAACAGCTCCGGTCTACAGCTCCCAGCATGAGCGATGCAGAAGACCGGTGATTTCCGCATTTCCATCTGAGGTACCGGGTTCATCTCACTAGGGAGTGCCAGACAGTGGGTGCAGGTCAGTGGGTGTGTGCACCATGCGCGAGCCGAAGCAGGGCGAGGCATTGCCTCACTCGGGAAGCGCAAGGGGTCAGGGAGTTCCCTTTCCTAGTCAAAGAAAGGGGTGACAGGCGGCACCTGGAAAATCGGGTCACTCCCACCCGAATACTGCGCTTTTCCGACGAGCTTAAAAAACGGCGCACCAGGAGATTATATCCTGCACCTGGCTCAGAGGGTCCTATGCCCACAGAGTCTCGCTGATTGCTAGCACAGCAGTCTGAGATCACACTGCAAGGCAGCAGCGAGGCTGGGGGAGGGGTGCCCGCCATTGCCCAGGCTTGCTTAGGTAAACAAAGCAGCCAGGAAGCTCAAACTGGGTGGAGCCCACCACAGCTCAAGGAGGCCTGCCTGCCTCTGTAGGCTCCACCACTGGGGGCAGGGCACAGACAAACAAAAAGACAGCAGTAACCTCTACAGACTTAAATGTCCCTGTCTGACAGCTTTGAAGAGAGCAGTGGTTCTCCCAGCACGCAGCTGGAGATCTGAGAACGGGCAGACTGCCTCCTCAAGTGGGTCCCTGACCCCTGATCCCCGAGCAGCCTAACTGGGAGGCACCCCAGCAGGGGCAGACTGACACCTCACATGGCCGGGTATTCCAACAGACCTGCAGCTGAGGGTCCTGTCTGTTAGAAGGAAAACTAACAAACAGAAAGGACATCCACACCAAAAACCCATCTGTACATCACCATCATCAAAGACCAAAAGTAGATAAAACCACAAAGATGGGAAAAAACAGAGCAGAAAAACTGGAAACTCTAAAAAGCAGAGCACCTCTCCTCCTCCAAAGGAACGCAGCTCCTCACCAGCAATGGAACAAAGCTGGATGGAGAATGACTTTGACGAGCTGAGAGAAGAAGGCTTCAGACGATCAAATTACTCCGAGCTACGGGAGGACATTCAAACCAAAGGCAAAGAAGTTGAAAACTTCGAAAAAAATTTAGAAGAATGTATAACTAGAATAACCAATACAGAGAAGTGCTTAAAGGAGCTGATGGAGCTGAAAACCAAGGCTCGAGAACTACGTGAACAATGCAGAAGCCCCAGGAGCTGATGTGGTCAACTGGAAGAAAGGGTATCAGCGATGGAAGACGAAATGAATGAAATGAAGCGAGAAGGGAAGTTTACAGAAAAAAGAATAAAAAGAAATGAGCAAAGCCTCCAAGAAATATGGGACTATGTGAAAAGACCAAATCTACGTCTGATCGGTGTACCTGAAAGTGACAGGGAGAATGGAACCAAGTTGGAAAACACTCTGCAGGATATTATCCAGGAGAACTTCCCCAATCTAGCAAGGCAGGCCAACATTCAGATTCAGGAAATACAGAGAACACCACAAAGATACTCCTCGAGAAGAGCAACTCCAAGACACATAATTGTCAGATTCACCAAAGTTGAAATGAAGGAAAAAATGTTAAGGGCAGCCAGAGAGAAAGGTCTGGTTACCTACAAAGGGAAGCCCATCAGATTAACAGCGGATCTCTCGGCAGAAACCCTACAAGCCAGAAGAAAGTAGGGGCCAATATTCAACATTCTTAAAGAAAAGAATTTTCAACCCAGAATTTCATATCCAGCCAAATTAAGCTTCATAAGTGAAAGAGAAATAAAATACTTTACAGATAAGCAAATGCTGAGAGATTTTGTCACCACCAGCCCTGCCTTAAAAGAGCTCCTGAAGGAAGCGCTAAACATGGAAAGGAACAACTGCTACCAGCCACTGCAAAATCATGCCAAAATGTAAAGACCATTGAGACTAGGAAGAAACTGCATCAACTAACGAGCAAAATAACCAGCTAACATCATAATGACAGGATCAAATTCACACATAACAATATTACCTTTAAATGTAAATGGACTAAATGCTCCAATTAAAAGACACAGACTGGCAAATTGGATAAAGAGTCAAGACCCATCAGTGTGCTGTATTCAGGAAACCCATCTCACGTGCAGAGACACACATAGGCTCAAAATAAAAGGATGGAGGAAGATCTACCAAGCAAATGGTAAACAATAAAAGGCAGGGGTTTCAATCCTAGTCTCTGATAAAACAGACTTTAAACCAACAAAGATCAAAAGGGACAAAGAAGGCCATTACCTAATGGTAAAGGGATCAATTCAGCAAGAAGAGCTAACTATCCTAAATATATATGCACCCAATACAGGAGCACCCAGATTCATAAAGCAAGTCCTGAGTGACCTACAAAGAGACTTAGACTCCCACACATTAATAATGGGAGACTTTAACATCCCACTGTCAACATTAGACAGATCAATGAGACAGAAAGTTAACAAGGATACCCAGGAATTGAACTCAGCTCTGCACCAAGCAGACCTAATAGACATCTACAGAACTCTCCACCCCAAATAAACAGAATATACATTGTTTTCAGCACCACACCATACCTATTCCAAAATTGACCACATACTTGGAAGTAAAGCTCTCCTCAGCAAATGTAAAAGAACAGAAATTATAACAAACTATCTCTCAGACCACAGTGCAATAAAACTAGAACTCAAGATTAAGAATCCCATTCAAAACTGCTCAACTACATGGAAACTGAACAACCTGCTCCTGAATGACTACTGGGTACATAACGAAATGAAGGCAGAAATAAAGATGTTCTTTGAAACCAACGAGAACAAAGACACAACATACCAGAGTCTCTGGGATGCATTCAAAGCAGTGTGTAGGGGAAAATTTATAGCACTAAATGCCCACAAGAGAAAGCAGGAAAGATTCAAAATTGACACCCTAACATCACAATTAAAAGAACTAGAAAAGCAAGAGCAAACACATTCAAAAGCTAGTAGAAGGCAAGAAATAACTAAAATCAGAGCAGAACTGAAGGAAATAGAGACACAAAAAACCCTTCAAAAAATTAATGAATCCAGGAGCTGGTTTTTTGAAAGGATCAACAAAATTGATAGACCACTAGCAAGACTAATAAAGAAAAAAAGAGAGAAGAATCAAATAGATGCAATAAAAAATGATAAAGGGGATATCACCACCGATCCCATAGAAATACAAACTACCATCAGAGAATACTACAAACACCTCTATGCAAATAAACTAGAAAATCTAGAAGAAATGGATAAATTCCTTGACACATACACCCTCCCAAGACTAAACCAGGAAGAAGTTGAATCTCTGAATAGGCCAATAACAGGCTCTGAAATTGTGGCAATAATCAATAGCTTACCAACCAAAAAGAGTCCAGGACCAGATGGATTCACAGCCAAATTCTACCAGAGGTACAAGGAGGAACTGGTAACATTCCTTCTGAAACAATTCCAATCAATAGAAAAAGAGGGAATCCTCCCTAACTCATTTTATGAGGCCAGCATCATCCTGATACCAAAGCCGGGCAGAGACACAACCAAAAAAGAGAATTTTAGACCAATATCCTTGATGAATGTTGATGCAAAAATCCTCAATAAAATACTGGCAAACTGAATCCAGCAGCACATCAAAAAGCTTATCCACCATGATCAAGTGGGCTTCATCCCTGGGATGCAAGGCTGGTTCAATATACGCAAATCAATAAATGTAATCCAGCATATAAACAGACCAAAGACAAAAACCACATGATTATCTCAATAGATGCAGAAAAGGCCTTTGACAAAATTCAACAACTCTTCATGCTAAAAACTCTCAATAAATTAGGTATTGATGGGACGTATTTCAAAATAATAAGAGCTATCTATGACAAACCCACAGCCAATATCATACTGAATGGGCAAAAACTGGAAGCATTCCCTTTGAAAACTGGCACAAGACAGGGATGCCCTCTCTCACCACTCCTATTCAACATAGTGCTGGAAGTTTTGGCCAGGGCAATTAAGCAGGAGAAGGAAATAAAGGGTATTCAATTAGGAAAAGAGGAAGTCAAATTGTCCCTGTTTGCAGATGACATGATTGTATGTCTACAAAACCCCATTGTCTCAGCCCAAAATCTCCTTAAGCTGATAAGCAACTTCAGCAAAGTCTCAGGATACAAAATCAATGTACAAAAATCACAAGCATTCTTATACACCAACAACAGACAAACAGAGAGCCAAATCATGAGTGAACTCCCATTCACAATTGCTTCAAAGAGAATAAAATACCTAGGAATCCAACTTACAAGGGATGTGAAGGACCTCTTCAAGGAGAACTACAAACCACTGCTCAATGAAATAAAAGAGGATACAAACAAATGGAAGAACATTCCATGCTCATGGGTAGGAAGAATCAATATCGTGAAAATGGCCATACTGCCCAAGGTAATTTACAGATTCAATGCCATCCCCATCAAGCTACCAGTGACTTTCTTCACAGAATTGGAAAAAACTACTTTAAAGTTCATATGGAACCAAAAAAGAGCCCGCATCGCCACGTCAATCCTAAGCCAAAAGAACAAAGCTGGAGGCATCACACTACCTGACTTCAAACTATACTACAAGGCTACAGTAACCAAAACAGCATGGTACTGGTACCAAAACAGAGATATAGATCAATGGAACAGAATAGAGCCCTGAGAAATAATGCTGCATATCTACAACTATCTGATCTTTGACAAACCTGAGAAAAATAAGCAATAGGGAAAGGATCCCCTATTTAATAAATGGTGGTGGGAAAACTGGCTAGCCATATGGAGAAAGCTGAAACTGTATCCCTTCCTTACACCTTATACAAAAATCAATTCAAGATGGATTAAAGACTTAAACGTTAGATCTAAAACCATAAAAACCCTAGAAGAAAACCTAGGCATTACCACTCAGGACATAGGCATGGGCAAGGACTTCATGTCTAAAACACCAAAAGCCATGGCAACAAAAGCCAAAATTGACAAATGGGATCTAATTAAACTAAAGAGCTTCTGCACAGCAAAAGAAACTACCATCAGAGTGAACAGGCAACCCACAAAATGGGAGAAAATTTTCGCAACCTACTCATCTGACAAAGGGCTAATATCCAGAATCTACAATGAACTCAAACAAATTTACAAGAAAAAAACAAACAACCCCATCAAAAAGTGGGCGAAGGACATGAACAGACACTTCTCAAAAGAACACATTTATGCAGCCAAAAAACACATGAAAAAATGCTCACCATCACTGGCCATCACAGGAATGCAAATCAAAACCACAATGAGATACCATCTCACACCAGTTAGAAAGGCAATCATTAAAAAGTCAGGAAGCAACAGGTGCTGGAGAGGATGTGGAGAAATAGGAACACTTTTACACTGTTGATGGGACTGTAAACTAGTTCAACCATTGTGGAAGTCAGTGTGGCGATTCCTCAGGGATCTAGAACTAGAAATACCATTTGACCCAGCCATCCCATTACTGGGTATATACCCAAAGGACTATAAATCATGCTGCTATAAAGACACATGCACACGTATGTTTATTGCGGCACTATTCACAATAGCAAAGACTTGGAACCAACCCAAATGTCCAACAATGATAGACTGGATTAAGAAAATGTGGCACATATACACCATGGAATACTATGCAGCTATAAAAGACGATGAGTTCATGTCCTTTGTAGGGACATGGATGAAATTGGAAATCATCATTCTCAGTAAACTATCGCAAGAACAAAAAACCAAACACTGCATATTCTCACTCATAGGTGGGAATTGAACAATGAGAACACATGGACACAGGAAGAGGAACATCACACTCTGGGGACTGTTGTGGGGTGGGGGGAGGGGGGAGGGATGGCATTGGGAGATATACCTAATGCTAGATGACGAGTTAGTGGGTGCAGCGCACCAGCAAGGCAGATGTATACATATGTAACTAACCTGCACTTTGTGCACATGTACCCTAAAACTTAAAGTATAATAATAATAAATTTTAAAAAAATCATTGGATTCTATATTGTTGTAAGTTTTAGGATATTTTGTACTCAATCATATTTGATCAACTCTAACGAAGAGTGGTATAGTTCCACCTAACACAAGTTTCACTCAATAAACATAATGTCCTCAGAAATATTTTGGAAGATAGTTTTTAAATATGATAATAATTTTACAAGTCAAAAATATGTTTTTTCTTTTTAATGGGAAGCTAGAAATATTAATTTCTTAGAATGAAGACAATCTTTAGAAAACTTTAACAAGAGTGAGAAAAAGCATTTGAAAATCAAAGTCAATTTCAACTCCTTGTCGTTAAATGAAACACTATCACTTGCCTAATTTGGAAATCTTATTTTTGAAAAAAAAAATCAATAAATTTCCAGACACAATTAGCCAATTCAAAATATCGGCATAAAATTCTTGTTTCTCATATTGTTTTTTTCAGTACATGTTCAAGTTTCTATTTCAGAATGATTAAGAAATTGACTGTGGTCAAGGGGTCCTTCTAGGAAAAAGCACTTATCTAATCTTTATTATTAGAAAAATAGAATAAGGATTAAAGAGCAGGAAACTATGACATCGACATCTGGATGAGAAAGGACAACATATTCAACCTTCATTCTCATTTTTTTCTAAATATATTCCTCGATGACATCCAAATGGTTAGGTCAATTGTTAAGAAACAGTTGGTTTCTAAAGGGCAAGCCACGTTGTTTGGTAAGTACTGATGCATACAGACACTAGAAGCATTTTGGGTAAAACTGGTCTTTTTGTGGGATTGCCAAATAAAATACAATATGGCCAGTTAAAATTGAATTTCAGATACATTTTTCTTGTATAGTATATATTCCACACAATGTTTGTTGATTATACTAAAAATTACCTGTTATTCATTTAAAACCAAAATTAACTGGGTATCTTATACTTTCATGAGCTAAATATGTACATACTATCTCTTGGTCTTATAGTGATTAATATAATTCAGTGAGATAATAGTCCATAATCTATTAGGTATCATAAAATTTGCTTAACATGTTCCAAACTTGAAAGAAGATTGAACTAGCTAGCGAGATTCCTTTCTTGTCTTTTGGTTAAATTGTCAATGTTGCTTTCTGAGCAATTAATGTTACTCAAATATTGTATACTTGAAAAATAAGCAATTAAGTAATAAAACTCATTTGTATATGGAGAAATATCCAACACCCTATTACTTTGGTAAAGACAGTAATGCTTCTGGTTGTATACGGTCCAGCTTCCAGAGAGGAAAGAATGGCTTCTCTGAGAAAGGTTGACAGGAACTACATTTTCATTTCCTTTGGAAAATTCCCCATGCTTTTGGCTCTGTGTCCTGTGTATACACGCACAAACACACATTTCCTTTCTGGTTTTTTTTCCTGCTTATTTCTATTGCAATATAGTTTCATGTTGTTTTTATCTGAAAGAAGAAATTGGAAGGTAACATCCAGGCATGAAGATTTGGTGTTTACTTGAACCATTTCATTAATGTTTCCAAGTTGAGTGGTTTCCATGTTTCCCAAAGGTTTTCACCCCTTAAAAGCTGATGGATGGGCTGACAGAGCCTTCCAGGCTTGGGCTGGTGTAATGTGAGCTCAGTGCCTGGAAACAATAAAGCAGCAATTTTCTGAGAGATTTACCTGCAGAAGAGCCAGGAATATAAAAGCATTTTCAGTTACCCACCCTAAGTCTCTTATTTTCTCTTAGTCCCAAGAGGGGTTTGAGAGGACTGTATCCTGTCAGGTTAATTGAGGGTGACATTAAAGGTAATCTCAGCAGCTGCCACTGTAATGGCTCAGAGGGAAAGACCAGTGGAGCAAGTGGAGTCTTCATGATGGGAACAACAGAAGCAAAGATTGCAGGGGTTGGGAAATGTCAGAGCCTTTCTCTTAAATGCTGGATGGTGGCATCCAGTTGACATTTGACAAGCAATGGTTCTAGCTCCAGTAGGGGCTATGAGCCAAGTGAAGGCTTCACCTGAGTTTGGTCCATCAGGACTGAGCCAGACTGTCTAAAATTCTTGTTGGATGTAGTCCCCAACACTGCATTCTCAGAGGACTGTACCTTGAAACTGGTCTTTTTATGTCACAGAGCAGGAAGGGGTGTGTGTGCTGGATTCAGTGCCCTAAAGAGAGTTCAGGGGTAAGGAGGTCTGGACTAAAGTGATGTGAGCTGGCACCAGCAGGACCTTAGCTCTCCACCTCAGGGTTGTAACAGGGATCAATTAACCTTAACCTTAAAGAAGCCCAGGTTCAGGGTGTCCCATTCAAATTCACAGTCCATCAGATACTTCTGATTTAAAATGCTAGGACCATGACAATTCTGCCTATTATTGCCATTTATTTGGTAATCTAATAATCATGTAACAATTCACTTCCAGGTTCACCTAGTAATCCATAACTCCTCCAAATGTTAAATAACAATAAACTTAAAATAAGCTTTCTGGATGGCCCAAGAAAATTATGTTGGAAAAATCTCATTTAATGGACTTTTGGGCTCTCACAAGGAAATGACTTATTTTTTCAAGAGTTTAGAAAGCTGACGTGAGGCTAACTTAGAAGACGTTGTGATGTGATAGAGAAATTGGCTGTGTCTTATTGCTCTACAGGGGAGAGGACATCACTAAAGAGGGAAAGAAGGTCATTAGTTTGGGAGGCCTGAGCTCCATTTATATCAGAGGAAGGTTAGGAGCCTCTGATAAACTCACACTCAATTTGCCACAGTAGAGAGGGGTTGAGAGGGAGACGTTCAGCCAGACCTAGAGGAGGGACTTGCATGTTCCTGAAACTGGAGGAAACAGATGGTTGCAACCAGGCCTTTTTAAGTCACAGGTTTTCACTGGTGAACACTTACATTTTTTCAATTCCACGTGGTGCGTCAGGAGGTCATAGGACATGGAAGGGGTGGCACATGGATGCCAGCAAAAGGAACTCAAAATGCTACAGCCTTGAAAGCTTTAGCAGGTCAGTGGTCAAGCCGTGTGGTGACAGAAGCAGCAGATGCCACAGGCAGCAGGACTGTGACTATGGCACACACCTATCTTAGAATGGAAGTATGGGCCAGAGAGGACCCCAATCGACACACTATTCAGTCTTTCATACTGATGCTGGACCTGTACCTCTGGCCTTGGCCTAATTATTGGCCTCAAAGGAGCAAAATGTTGGACACCATCAACCTTGCCTTGTTGAAAACAGTAATGAGAAGCCCATCTGGAGCCATCTTTCCAGCCAGAGCTAGAAGTCAGAGGACAGGCTGGCCACCACACAGAGGCAGAGTGGTTTTTCAGAGGCTCTGGCTGGGTGTCAGGAGCTTTGGGAAGCTTATCTCCACTGGCCAAATGTCATGAGGTCTTTCCAGGGAGAAGCTCTGATTGTTCTGGCTCCATCTCCCATCTTTGTCTAACCTTCCTGGCATCATCTCCAGGCCTCTGCTGGCAGTGGTGCTTTCCGGACTCATTGCTCCATTTAAATGACTTCCAGATGGTGATTTTCTGTTTCGAGGATGAGTGAACATTTCCATAAGTTGCATCTCATTTTACTAATATCACTAATTTCTTTGCTTTCTTGCATCCAATCAATCCATCATTCCACTTTATCTGTGGATTTCATTAATGAGCCATTGACTTCCTCTTCCAGATCATTAGTGAAGATGTCCAATTCTGACCAGATCTAATACCAATTCCCATGGCTCATTGCTGGCTGCCCCAACAGCTCCTGGAGGAGGCATTCATCAGTCTCATACTGTGACTTCATTATCTCAAACCAATTTTAACCCATTTTGCAGGAAACACTTCTTAGGATGTTGTAAAACTTAATGTTTTCCCAAGGAACTCCTAATTTTAATAGGACCAGAGCAGATGGCCACATGATATAGTGTAATATACCTAGCCATGAAATTCCAGGCTCCACTAACCAGAGTGTAGGCTCATTCATTCTTTCGTTTTTTTCTACAGAAGAACAAAAGAAGGATTACACCCCTCTGCTATAATCCACTATGCTTTTTATGCTTTTCCAGCACCACACTTTTCTATTGATTTGCCCTTTCTGTTTGACAGAAGCTTTCACTTACAGTCCATCTTCTTGGTTACTCTTGGGGTACTTTACACAAATCAGCAGGTTACTGAATGGCTGGGAAGCTTACACAGGTGGCTAAAATTTAAGTTTAGAATAGATGATGTTCTCAACGGCTTGGAGAACAGGGTCTCCTGGGCTTTCCTGACTTTTCTTTACTCACTCTTGGTACAAATCAGGTTCTAATTATGTGAACTGAATCAAAGAAAATGATCTGGGATCAGCTTAATTTTTTTTTTATGTTTAGCCCTAAGTGCTTGGTACACAAAGTGACACGTTTCAGGCATAGCTCAACACCGATATTTTCTTCTTGGCTGTGAAATTTCCTTCTGAAATTAAAAAAAAGTACTTTTCTTCCCTCTATTAAAATAATTTTTTCTTTTGTGAAAGGAGAATAAAAATTGTATGTCTATTATCATTATAACTTGTACAAAACTGAAAAGAAAACTAAAAAAAATGAAATGTTTGGTTTGTTGGAGTGGTAAAATTGAAGATACATTATTCTTTATTATACCCTTGTTTAATACAATTGAAGTAATTTAATCTGTAGTATATTCTTATATAGTCAGGTTATAAGTGTTTTTTTTCAAAGCTATTAAGAAAATAAGTATTCAAAATCTTTGGGGGAAACAATTTCTTTCTGCTTGAGTCCAAGTTAAAATGGATCTCCCAATAGCTGAGTGAAGTAGCATTTTCTGAGCAACACTGTTAAACGTTCCCCAGGCAAAAGGATCTCAGATGTTCGTTTCATCAATTCATGCTACACAGCATGTGGGTTATGGCATATAACTCAAAACTATTCAGGAAGGTAAGATGCCACTGGATCTTTGCATGCACGTTTAAGTTTTAGTGATGGTTATTTGACTTTGCATTGTAATATAGTGTGGCATAGCATAGCATGGCAGAACAAATATATAGCATAGTAGTCAGAACGCTAACTTTGGAAACAACAGAGCTTCAAATCTGGTCCTTCTACATATTAACTGTATGATCTTGGGAATATCATTTAATCTCTCTGAGCTCCAGTTTTACCCTCTGAAAATGTGATAATGCTACTTAACAATTATTGTAAGGGTTAAGTCAATCAGGGTTCTCCAGAGAAACAGGAGCAACAGGATGTGTGTGTGCGTGTGTGTGTGTGTGTGTGTGTGTGTGACAGAGAGAGAGAGAGAGAGAGAATATATATGGGGGTGCAGATTTTAAGGAATTGGCTCACATGATTGTGGAGGCTGGCAAATCCTAAATCTTCAGGGTAGACTGGCAGACTGGAGACTCAGAATTTTTGCAGTTGGAGTCTGAAGGCAGTCTGCTGGCAGAATTTCTTCTTTCTTGGGGAAGATCAGTCTTTATTCTCTTCAGGCCTCCAATTGATTGGATGAGGTCCACCCACATCGTGGAGGGTAAACTGATTTACTCGAAGTCCACTGATTTAAATGCAATTAACATTTAACCTTCACAGAAACATCCAGAAACTGCTTAACCATAGCCCAGCCAAGTAGCCAGGTTGACATAAGTTAACCATCACAGTGAAGTCAGGTTTGTAAGGCAGGAGAGGCTGACAGTAGTAAGCATTCAATAAAATCATCTCATGAGTTTCTGTATCCCAGAGGCACAGGGGATGAGGATGAAATTGTTGGATTTTAGAGAATTTCTTTGCTGAAAGTTTGTGATTTGGATTGCCGGGCTTATAGCTAAGAAATGGTGGTGTGATTGCCAATTCACTCCTCAAGACTAGAGTTGTAAGTAATCCCGGAAATTGGCTACTCCACTTCATAAAGAAAAAAGAAGACACTGGAAGGATATGGAGTTAGAAACCCCCACATCACTGCTGAGAAACAGAAGACAAGATACTTAGGGGGATTCATATAAGTGATCGCTAGCTATACTCTCTTAGCTCTGGAGTAATGCAAAGTCAACACTGCAGCAAGAAATTAGGGCATACCCTTCATTTTGTATTTTTTCTTCTAAACCATTCACTAAGTGAAGAACCAGATATTCTAAATGATATGCCCCCCTGCTTGTCTTATTCTATTCTATTCTATTCAGGCTGCTATAACAAATTCATTAGACTGGGTAACTTATAAATAATAGAAATTTACTGCTCATGGTTCTGGGAGCTGGGAAATCTAAGATTAAAGTGCCAGCAGATTCATTGTTTGTTGTGGACTTACTCTCCATTTGCACGATGGTGCCTTTAGCTATGTCCTCCCATGAAGGAAGCACCCAGGGAGTTCCCTTGAGCCTCTTTCAAATGAGCACCTTCTCTTTCATGAAGGCTTTGCCCTCATCATCTAATTACCTCCTGAAGGCCCCACTTTTTAATACCACCACCTTGGGGGCCAGGTTTTATCACATGAATTTTGGAGAGACATGATCATTCAGACCACAGCACCCTCCAAATAATGATCCCTTCCTTACACCTTATACAAAAATTAATTCAAGATGGATTAAAGACTTAAATGTTAGACCTAAAACCATAAAAACCCTAGAAGAAAACCTAGGCAATACCATTCAGGACATAGGCATGGGCAAGGACTTCATGTCTAAAACACCAAAAGCAATGGCAACAAAAGCCAAAATTGACAAATGGGATCTAATTAAACTAAAGAGCTTCTGCACAGCAAAACTACCATCAGAGTGAACAGGCAACCTACAAAATGGGAGAAAATTCTCGCAACCTACTCATCTGACAAAGGGCTAATATCCAGAATCTACAATGAACTCAAACAAATTTACAAGAAAAAAACAAACAACCCCATCAAAAAGTGGGCAAAGGACATGAACAGACATTTCTCAAAAGAACACATTAATGTAGCCAAAAAACACATGAAAAAATGCTCACCATCACTGGCCATCAGAGAAATGCAAATCAAAACCACAATGAGATACCATCTCACACCAGTTAGAATGGCAATCTTTAAAAAGTCAGGAAACAACAGGTGCTGGAGAGGATGGGGAGAAATAGGAACACTTTTACACTGTTGGTGGGACTGTAAACTAGTTCAACCATTGTGGAAGTCAGTGTGGCGATTCCTCAGGGATCTAGAACTAGAAATACCATTTGACCCAGCCATCCCATTACTGGGTGTATACCCAAAGGATTATAAATCATGCTGCTATAAAGACACATGCACACGTATGTTTATTGTGGCATTATTCACAATAGCAAAGACTTGGAACCAACCCAAATGTCCAACAATGATAGACTGGATTAAGAAAATGTGGCACATATACACCATGGAATACTATGCAGCCATAAAAAATGATGAGTTCATGTCCTTTGTAGGGACATGGATGAAATTGGAAATCATCATTCTCAGTAAACTATCTCAAGAACAAAAAACCAAACACTGCATATTCTCACTCATAGGTGGGAATTGAACAATGAGAACACATGGACACAGGAAGGGGAACATCACACTCTGGGGACTGTTGTGGGGTGGGGGGAGGGTGGAGGGATGGCATTGGGAGATATACCTAATGCTAAATGACGAGTTAATGGGTGCAGCACACCAGCATGGCAGACGTATACACATGTAACTAACCTGCACATTGTGCACATGTACCCTAAAACTTAAAGTATAATAATAATAAAAGAAAAAAAAAAGAAAAAAAGTTATAAATGCAAAAAGCTATTGTTTACCAACCTAGGTCCACCTCTAAGACTGCTCCCATTCTTCTTGGCATATTAGACATATTACAAATGTACCTATGTGCTCCCTCTCTTATATTCAGGCCACACAACCATAGTGTTTTCTACTGTCCTTAGGTGTTGATTGCTATTCTTCATGATCTTGGTTACCATCATTTTAAAATACAGGTGGCCCTCATTTGGTGCTATAGGTGGCTATTCTTGTAGCTTAATTGGAAATTCTTATGGAATCTTTCATATAATAAATAAATCCCTTACATTATACATATAAACTCTTAAAAAAAATAAACTTATGGATATTGGCCACGCAAAAAAAAAAAAAACAAAAGTAGAGAAAAGAGAGAACTAGAATAAAAATGTAAATGTACTGATTAATACTGTGGGGAATAAGCTTTTAAGACATTAAAGTTTCCTACAAGTAAATTCAACACAAATTTTATTCTGACTTTACTCCCAATAATGACCTTGCCTGGATCTGATAAGTTTCAGACTTAGAAGTGAACAGTAAAGACATTTGCATCCTTACACATGCCCCCTGACAAATAAAACAATCTATAAAAGCACAGACAGTGCTACTCAATAGTACACAGGCACTGGAAGTAAAATAGATTGCAGGTATTATAGATGTAAGATTAATTTTAAAATGTTTTGAAAATGAGCTTTAATTAAAATTGCACTGAAATGGAGACAGATTCACTGATTGAATGCTTCCTATTGGCAATATTTTTCTCCTTCCATTGGAAAATGTCCTAAGCCAAGTTTCCTCTCTTGTGACATAAAGAAAATAATGTGATCTGTCCTCTTTCCAGAGAAGTTGTGATTGTCACATACTGCAAGATATGTGAAAACATTTTGAAAAATGAAGTGTTGTAAGTTGAGTTATTATTCTTAGTATTAAAAAGAAGAGAGGAGTAATAGGGTGGAAAATGGGAAGAGAAAGATCTTTAGAATCAACCAATGTGAAGGCTGAATATTAATGGCATTTCTCTCCTTGTGCAATGGTGAGAAATTCCCTTCACTCCTCTAAGCAAAAATGTCAGTCTTTATACACTGACATTTCCAGGTGTGCATATGCTTATAAAGTGTGTAAATGTGTATGCATGAATATGTCAAAGGAAGGGAGAGATAAAAGTCCTGTTCTAGTAGTACATTGAATGGAAGCATACCATTTAACACACAAGATGCTAAAAATAAAGTTTTCATTTTTCAGGGCCAAGAATAAAATCCTTTGTGGAGGTAAGTTCAAATGAGTCAGGAAAGTGGGGAAAGAATGAGGGAGAAAAGCTGGGATAGGCTGAGTTTAGACTAGGAGTGAAACATGAAAGAGGTTTCAGGTCAAAAGCTTAAATTCACAGAGGTAAGCTCCCGTCATCTCAGTAGGAGACAGATCTCAGAGCAGAGCAAAACTGTTAGAGCATGAGTCTTTCCCAAACAAATCTCAGAACTAAAGCATAAAACAAAAACAGAGGTAAAGTTCTAATGACTTCTAGGACTCACTCTGGAAGCCAAGAAAACGTATTCCTGGGTCTGATAAGTCCATAATGCATACTTCTTGCATGCCTGTTATTAAGTTGTTGTCCCTCAGCTCCAAATCCACTCTACTGTATCTCACTGTTGTTACGCTGCATCTGGAATGCGGCAAACTACATCTCTGTTCTGCCAACTAATTCTGTATTAGGCTCTGTTTTTTTAAATGCAAGCACCAGAGGGAAACTGGACAGTTAAGGATGAGGAAAGGATTTCATTTTCCTCTTTTCCTGTTCCTGTGCCTATCCCTCTAGCAATGCTTCATCTTAGCAGAAACAGTTCTTCCTTGTAGCAGCAGTTGAATCCAATTTGTAATTTTTGTAACACTTGCAGATCCAGATTCAGGACATACCTGCACCAGCCAGCCAGCAGCACTCCACCCTCCTTAGAGGTCTGGGTCTCAGCCCTCTTTGCTGAATTCAGGACACCAGAACCAGCTAAGCAGTGTGCGGTGCACCCTCCTTAGAGGATACCCACTCTCACTACTTCTTTTCAACATTGTCCTGGAGGTTTTGGCCATTGCCATAAGGCAAAAAGGAAAAAAGAAATTTAAAAAATGATCAGGAAGGAAGAAGTAAAGCTCTCTCTTTGTAGATAACATGATTGTTTACATAAAATTCCTAAGGGATTTATTAAAAAAACTACTAGAACTAATAAATGAAATGAACAAAATCACAGGATCAAGGCTAGTATACTAAAATCAGTTGTATTTTTATGTAACACGAAAATAACACGGAAATGAAAATTTACAACTTCCATATGCAATAGCACCAAAAAACATAAAACCCTGAGAACATATGTTGCCATCATATAGGATATAGTATATTTCTTTCAACTGAGGAACAATACAGGGTGCTGTTTCTCCCAAAGCCAGAATACATGAGTCTAGGAAGAAGTGAGTTGAAGTGGGAATGACTTCTCTCATTACTACACCAAATAACCCATTTGCAGAATTTTTGAATCTACATCTACAAGACCTGCTACTCTGAGGTCTTGGTTCCCAAGAGAGAAATCCTTACAACAATGGTTCTATGGATCTGAAGTTTGAAACTTCAGAAAAATAAAGTTTTCATTTTTCAGAGCCAAGAATACCTGATCATTTTTAGTTCCTCATTAATAGGAAGCTAACAGGCAAAGAAGGAGAGAGTTATTCTGGTTGGGTGGCTGATGGCTGATCTTGACAACCAAGAGGAAACAGAATTGATGCTAGAAAATGTGAACAGGGAGGACTGTTTCTGGAACCCAAGAGATTCTCTGTGATGACTCTTACTACCTCCTTTTCTAATACTAAATATTAACTGAAAGCTACAGCAACCAATTAAAAAAAAGAGGAATTGAAGATTTAGACTTTTTGGGTAAGAACCCTAGCCAGCTAAAATTCTGGCTAATGGGAAAGAAAACATAGGATGTGTAATAGAAGAAGGAAGTTATGAATACCAACCACAATATTGTGAGGGGTTACAGAAATGAATACCGTAGCAGCTGCACATAGCTTCTTCTTTGTTTGCTGCTGCTGTTTTTCATGTGTGTGTGTGTGTATGGGTGTGTTTGTATATGCTACCTATTTTATTATTTTCCATCTTTTTTCCCTTGTTACTTAACATGTTTTTTGTAAGGTTTAATGTATAATTTAGTATTAGGAAACAGAATATTCAGGTGGGGCTGGGATTGAAAGTGAGGTATAATGAACATAGTTCAGAGATGGCTAGAAATAATTTACATATGAGTTTTACCCACCCCATTTTCTGCGGGAAGGAACAAATAGATATCTATTTGATTTATTTTTATCTTATCCTTTTAAATATTGATTTTGTACAAATATTATATTTGTACAACATAATACAATTTATAAATAGGTAAATACACATACATCAGGATTGCATGCTAAAAACCATAATAGCTTACAGGAGAGGTCAGGAATATAGTTTTGTTTCCTATGAATGAGCTACTTATTTCTGCAAAGAGGGCATTCTATTCCAAAGTCCCAGGCCATGCTCACTTGTCCATTCAGTATCATCTAATATATGGCACCAAGTCAGCAATTAAAAGTGCCTTAGTAACTATACTACAAGGCTACAGTAATCAAAACAGCATGGTACTGGTACCAAAACAGATATATAGACCAATGGAATAGAACAGAGGCCTCAGAAATAACGCCACACATCTACAACCATCTGATCTTTGCCAAACCTGACAAAAACAAGCAATGGGGAAGGGATTCCCTATTTAATAAATGGTGTTGGGAAAACTGGCTAGCCATATGCAGAAAATTGAAACTGGACCCCTTCCTTACGCATTATACAAAAATTAACTCAAGATGGATTAAAGACTTAAACATAAGACCTAAAACCATAAAAACCCTAGAAGAAAACCTAGGCAATACTATTCAGGACATAGGCATGGGCAAAGAATTCATGACTAAAACGCCAAAAGCAATGGCAACAAAAGCCAAAATTGACAAATGAGATCTAATTAAACTGAAGAACTTCTGCACAGCAAAAGAAACTACCATCAGAGTGAACAGGCAACTTACAGAATGGGAGAAAATTTTTGCAATCTATCAATCTGACAAACAGCTAATATCCAGAATGTACAAGGAACTTAAACAAATTTACAAGAAAAAAATAAACAACCCCATCAGAAAGTGGGCAAAGTATATGAGCAGACACTTCTCAAAAGAAGACATTTATGCGGCCAACAAACATGAAAAAAAGCTCATCATCACTGGTCATTAGAGAAATGCAAATCAAAATCACAATGAGATACCATCTCATGCCAGTTAGAATGGTGATCATTAAAAAGTCAGGAAACAACAGATGCTGGAGAGGATATAGAGAAATAGGAATGCTTTTACACTGTTGGTGGGAGTGTAAATTTGTTAAACCGTTGTAGAAGACAGCATGGGAATTTCTCAAGGATCTAGAACCAGAAATATCATTTGACTCAGCAATCCCATTACTGGGTATATACCCAAAGAATTATAAATCATTCTACTATAATGACACATGCACACGTATGCTTATTTTAGCACTATTCACAATAGCAAAAACTTGGAACCAACCCAAATGCCCATCATTGATAGACTGGATAAAGAAAATGTGGCACATATACACCATGGAATACTATGCAGCCATAAAAAAGGATGAGTTCATGTCCTTTGCAGGGACATGAATAAAGCTGGAAATCGTCATTCTCAGCAAACTAACACAGGAACAGAAAACCAAACACTGCATGTTCTCACTCATAAGTGGGAGTTGAACAATGAGAACACGTGAACACAGGAAAGAGAACATCACACACTGGGGCCTGTTGGGGGGTGGGGGGCAAGGGGAGGGATAGCATTAGGAGAAATACCTAATGTAGATGATGGGTCGATGGGTGCAGCAAACCACCATGTCACGTGTATACCTATGTAACAAACCTGCACATTCTGCACATGTATCCCAGAACTTAAAATATAATTTTTTAAAAAAGTGCCTTATTAGAATACATACATCCTTCTACTTAAACGATGAGTCCACACTGTTGGCATCAGATCTGGAAGACAGAGATTACACACCCTGAATAAATGGGTCTGTTGAGGTCATTTGACTTAGTTGGTAAGCTCCTGAAAGGTGGTGATGTAGTTTATAGTGTACTTGTTCTCTCACATTCTATCTAGCATAAACCTGTACAAATGATCCTCTGGAGTTCCAAAAGTATAGGGGTGACTAATGTTCTCAAAGATACTGAAGGATTATACAAGAATACAATGCCTCCCAATCAACCTAGAAGACTATCAATCATGCTCAGTTTTGTGAATTCTTGGAACAGTGCAGTACTCCATTAGAAAAGATACTTCATTAATTTCAGTATTTCCTCCAGCCAGGTTTGACAACAAATTATTACAGTATTTCTTTTGTTCCATCATTCATCTGATCCCTCTATCCTTATCCTCATACCCTGCATGTGCACTGAACACTTACCGAGTAAATAGACATAAGAAAATTTACAGGTAAAGAAAATGTCAAAGTCTTCCTTTTCTTTATCTGTAAGATGAAGGAATTGAAGTCTAATACCCCTTCAAAATTTCTCTAACAGAGTTAGAGGTCTACATCAAGCAATGCATGCTAGGCATCCTAACTTGCTTTCCAATGATGGATTGTTAGCTAAACCACCCCAACCCTCAGCCCCTAAAATTGAAAGCCCTCTTCCTCTGAACTCATGTTCTTCTCTCTACAAATCTTTTTTCTAATTTTTAATTTTTGTGGAGATGTAGTAGGCATATATTTATGGTTACATGAGAGATTTTGTTATAGGCATGCAATGCATAATATTCACATCAGGGTAAATGGGGTATCAATCACCACAAGCATTTATAATTTATGTAACAAACAATCCAATTATATTCTTTTGTTTATTTATTTATTTGTTTATTTTAGACAATCTCACTCTGTTGCCTGGGCTGGACTGCAGTGGTGCAATCTTGGCTCACTGCAACCTTCATGTCCCATGTTCCAGTGATTCTCCTGCCTCAGCCTCCCAAGTAGCTGGGATTACAGGTGCATGCCACAATGCCCAGTTACTTTTTGTACTTTTAGTAGAGACAGGGTTTCACCACGTTGGCCAGGTTGGTCCTGAACTCCTGACTTCAGGTGCTCTGCCCATCTCGGCCTCCCAAAGTGCTGGGATTACAGGTGTAAGCCACCATGCCTGGCCCAATCCAATTATATTCTTTTAATTATTTTAAAATGTAATATTAAATTATTTTTTACTATAGTCACTGTACTAGTCCATTCTCACACTGCTATAAAGAAATACCGGAGACTGGATAATTTATAAAGAAAAGAGACGACTGGCATGGTGGCTCACTCCCAGCACTTTGGGAGACCAAAGTGGGTGGATCGCCTGAGGTCAGGAGTTTGAGACCAGCCTGGCCAACATGGTGAAACCCCTTCTCTACTAAAAACACAAAAACTAGCCAGGCATGGTGGTGCACACCTGTAATCCCAGCTAGTCAGGAAGCTGAGGCAGGATAATTCCTTGAAACCAGGAGGTGGTAATTGCAGTGAACTGAGATCACGTCACTGTACTCCAACTTGGGCAACAGAGCAAGACTCCATCTGAAAAAAAAAAAAAAAAAGAAAGAGGTTTAATTGCCTTATAGGATAAACAGGAAACATGTCAGAGTCTGCTTCTGAGGGGGCCTCAGGAAGCTTTTACTCATGGCAGAAGGCAAAGCGGAAGCTACCTGCATATTCTGTAGAACAATTTAATTGTTCACAGGAAGCACACTCTTAAATAACTAGATCTCATGATAAGTCACTCACTGTCATGAGAACAGCACCGTGGGGGTTTTGCTAACCCATTCATGAGAACTCCACCCCCATGATGCAATCAACTCCCACCAGGCCCCACTCCAACACTGGGTATTAGAATTCAACTTGAGATTTAGTGAGGACACCAAACCCCATTCTGCCCCTGGCCCCTCAAAATCTCATGTCCTTCTTATATTGTAAAATACAATCATGGCTTCCCAACAGTCTCCCAAAGTCTTAGTTTATTCTAGCATTAAGCCAAAAGTCCAAAGTCCAAAGTCTCATCTGAGATAAGGCAATTTCCTTCCACCTACGAGCCTGTAACATGAAAAACAAGTTAGTTGCTCCCAAAATACAATGGGGTTATGGCACTGGGTAAGGGAGAAATTGGCCAAAAGAAAGGGGCTACAGGGCCCATGCAAGTCCAAAACCCAGCAGGGCAGTTATTAACTCTTAAAACTGCAAAATAATCTCCTTTAACTCAGTGTCTCACATCCAGGGTACACTGGTGCAAGAGGTGGGCTCTCAAAGTCTTGGGAAACTCTGCCTCTGTGGCTTTCCAGGGTACAGCCCCCACAGTTGCTCTCAAGGGGTGGTATTGAGTGCCTGTGGCTTTTCCAGGTTCATAGTGCAAGCTGTTGGTAGCATTCCTGGTTCCAGAGGATGGTGGCCTTCTCATAGCTCCACTAAGCACTGTCCCAGTGGGGACTCTGTGTGGGGCCTCCAAACCCACATTTACCCTCTGCACTGCCCTAGTAGAAGTTCTCCATGATGGTTCCACCCCTGCAGTAGGCCTCTGCCTGAACATCCAGGCTTTTCCATACATTCTCTAAAGTCTAGGAGGAGGCTACCGAGCCTCAGCTAATGCACTCTGTGCACCTACAGGCTTAACACCACGTGGAAGCTGCCAAGGCTTATGGCTTGCACCCTCTGAAGCAGTGGCCCAAGCTGTACCTGGGCCTCTTTGAGCCAAGGCTGGAGCTGAAGTGACAGGGATGCTGAGAGCAATGTCCTGAGGCTGTGCAGGGTGGCAGGGCCTTGGGCGTGGCCCATGAAATCATTCTTCCCTCTTAGCCCTCCAGGCCTGTGATGGGAGGGGCTGCTGTGTAGGTCTCTGAAGTGCCTTCAAGGCCTTTTTCCCATTGTCTTGGCTATCGGTTCTTCTTTACTTATGCAAATTTCTGCAGCCTGATTGAATTCCTCACCACATGGTCAGGCTGCAAGTTTTCCAAACTTTTATGCTTTGTTTACCTTCTAAATATAAGTTCCAGTTTTATGTCATTTCTTTGCTCACATATATGAGCATAGGTTGTTTCTTCTACCAGATATCCTAAGTCATTTTTTCTGCCAGATATCCTAAGTCATGACTCTCAAGTCAAAATTTCCACAGATCCCTAGGGCAGAGGCATAATGCCCCCAAGTTCTTTGCTAATAGATAACAAAAGTGACCTTTATTCCAGTTCCCAATAAGTTCCCCATTTTCTTCTGAGACCTCCTCAGCCTAGACTTCATTGTCCATCTCAGCATCAGCATTTTTGTCACAATTTACCAAGTCTGTAGGAAGTTCCAAATTTTCCCTCATCTTTCTATCTTCTGAGCCCACCACATTCTTTCAACCTCTACCCTTTACACAGTTCCAAACTGGGATCCATATTTTCAGGTATCTTTATAGCAATGCCTCACCCCTGGTAGCAATTTTCTGTATTAGTCCATTCTTGGATGACTATAGAGAAATACCTGAGACTAGGTAACATATAAAGAAAACAGCTTTAATTCCTTCACGGTTCTGCAGGCTGTATAGAAGCATGATTCTGGCCTTTGCTCAGCTTCTAGGGAGGCTTCAGGAAACTTACAATCATAACAGAAAGTGAAGAAGGAACATACACATTACATGGCTGAAGTAGGAACAAGAGAGATGGGGGAGGTGCCACTCACTTTTAAACAATTGGATCTCATGAGAGCTCACTATCACAACAACAGCACTAACGAAGAATGGTGTTAAACCATGAGAAAACCACCCCCATGATGTAATCACCTCCCATCATGCCCCACTTCCAGCATTGGGGATTACATTTCATCGTAAGATTTGGGTGGGTACACAGATCCGAGTCATATCAGTCACCCTGTTGTGCTAGCAAATACTAGGTCTTATTCATTCTTTCTATTTTTTTGGTACCCATTAGCAATCTTCACTTCCTCCCTACCCCCCACCACCCTTCCCAGCCTCTGGTAACCATCTTTCTACCCTCTATCTCCATTTGTTCAATTATTTTAATTTTTAGCTCCCACAAATAAATAAGAATATGTGAAGTTTGTCTTTCTGTGTCTGACTTATTTTACTTAACATAATGACCTCCAGTTCCATCTGCGTTGTTGCAAATGACAAGAATCTCATTCTTTTTTATGGCTGAATAGTACTCCATCATGTATAAGTACCATATTTTCTTTATCTATTCCTGTGTTGATGGACACTTAGGCTGCTTCCAAATCTTGGCCATTGTGAATAATGCTTCAATAAACATCAGAGTACAGATATCTCTTTGATATACTAATTTCGTTTCTTTTGGGTATATACCTAGGAGTGGGATTGCTGGATCATATGGTGGCTCTATTTTTAGTTTTCTGAGGAACCTCCAAATTGTTCTTCATAGTGATTGTACAAATTTACATTCCCACCAACAGTGTATGAGGGTTCTCTTTACTCCACATCCTTGCCAGCATTTGTTATTGCCAGACTCTTGGGTAAAAGCCATTTTAACTGGCCATACTGCCCAAGCTAATTTACAGATTCAATGCCATCCCCATCAATCTACCAATGCCCTTCTTCACAGAATTGGAAAAAACTAC